>NC_000005.10:155460006-155760324 GCF_000001405.40 Homo sapiens
TGTATTCTCAGCCTTTCATGGTCTACATTACAGCTCATGTATTTACTCACCCATTGCACACCTTTCTAGCCATCTATCACATATAAGGAAGTGTGCCCAGCATGAGGTAACCAAAAAGAAGACCAAGCTGCAGTCCTTGCAAGAGGTTTTGCCCTAGGTGCTCTGTCCCAGACCTTGGCTGCAGTGCCTTCTTTGTATAGCTCAGTCTTCATGCCTCAGTCCCATCAATGCATCCAAAGGTGGCAACAAAGGCCCCCTTTGCTGTGGCCTACAGCCTAAAATTCTTCCTATTTTGAAGGACTAAACTCACCCTAGAGTGAAAGGATCCCTGAATTAAGCTAAACATACTTCTCGACTGAGAATATCCATCTTGGTTTTTGCTTAAACCCATGTTAAGGTTTTCTACCATTTCCCAGCAAATTCAGTGACATTCACCCTAAGAAAGTTAAGCTCTTGTTTAAAAGTAATTTTTAAAATTCCCTTTCTAATTAACCACTGACAGGCTCTCTGCCAATAACTGTGTTTATTTTTTAGAAAATCAATTGCATTCTCTACAAAAGACTCATCCTTTTCAGTCAATATTCCCTCCATTACACACAGATAATGTTTACTGTAGCAGCTTCAGGGACCAGAGTCCAGTTCTTTCATGGGGTTACCTGCAGCCAATCTAAATAGCAGGTGTTTGGAACGTCATCTCCCTAAACACTAACAGATTTCACCTTTATCATGTTTACTAGTAAGTAGATGTGTTGGGAATACTAGGATTTTCTGCCTTCCTGCAGCCCTAAGATAAAGGTGCTGACTATGGGCAGTGTTTGCTGACTCAGCCCCGAGCTGTCTGTTAATACTGCCCAATGATTCCAGCTCAGGGTAGTCTGTGATATGTGTAAAGCAGTCATTGTTCTTGGGGCAAGGGAAGCCTGAGAAAATGGGGATACTGGATTTTGCTATTGTATGATGTAAGATACATGCAAAGCTGTGACGATTTTTTTAAAAATAATCATATTAATCTTGTTTACTTCCAAATTCATTTATTCATTAAACACACTTTATTCAGCCCCTGCTAGGTTCCAAGCACTGTTCTGGGTATAGACAGAAAGACATGAAGGCAGCCTTTCTGAAGCCTGCAGTCCAGGGTCAAAAGCAGAGAAACAATACACTAAGAAAGCAATATATAATTGAGATGGATATTATGAAGTAAATGAGAAAATGATCAAAAATTAAAGTGGGTGTGGTTTGGGGGCACCAGGAACCATTTAGACTGGATTATTACTGAAGGCTTTTTTAGGTTTACTTTTCTCATTTCCTTCATCACTGCTTATTGAGTTACCCGTTTAAATATTTGCCCTCATTGGTCTGTAAGTTCTATGAATACAGGGACTTTAGCTGGTGACTGTTGTAGTCACTAGTGCATTTTCATGCACCATGCATACTTGGCACACAGTAAGTCTTTAAATATTTGCAGAATGAATAAATGAATGAATTAGACAATAGCTCCATCCCAAACACGCACATGCACATACACACTCTGACGCAGTAGGAGAGAAGAGGAACAGCATTTTTAGAGCTAAACGGGATAACATCCTGTCCTCCTTAACAGGAAGGATCTTGGAGTCAGTGCTAGAAAATCTCTGAGCTTATAAGAAATGGATCCACATCACTTGTGAAACTGGAATTATCTGATAGGTGATTAAAGGTTTTGTCCATAGGACTCAGGAAGTAATAAATCTATATTCTTTGAAGCTTAAGATAGAGTATTTGTTAGGCTACTTGCTGCTAGATGAGGCAAGATTGGATTTTTGTGGTCTCCTCTGGAAGATGCCCTCATTGTAAGCTGCTGGAGGCTGGGTTTATTTGCCTCAGGAACATGTAACACAGTGATAATCTCCCATGGTTCTAGAAAGGCTGAAAACTATAGGTAGGGGTTTGATCCACTAATCCATCTTCTGTGGCTTACTATTGATTGAATTTGGCTAATGGTGAGATGGAGACTTTACTGTCCTTCTGCAGTAAATTTTGTTATGTCCTGGAAGGCATCACTCTCTCTTTCCAGTCAAATTGTCCAAACAATTGGTCTTCTTTTTGGTTACCTCTTGTGCTGGGCACACTTCCTCATGTATGGTAGATGACCTCAGTGCATCTTCCTTTCTTTGTGTGTGAGAGAAAAGAGAGATGCCAGGGTCTGACTCTAGAAACCCAGAGAAAAAGAGTCTAAAATTAATAAGAGGTTATTACAGACAACAACGGCTCTTCAGAATCCTAACAATAGATTTCACTTTTGAGGAGGAACTATTATTTACTTTAGGAATAATAGAAAGAAATTCTTTCCACTTGTGAATTCTGTAGAGTACTATCACATTCCAAGATTGATGTGTGGGAATAGGAATTACAAACATATTGTATTTAAAAAGGATCAAACTTGATTCTACATGAAAGTATCTATATTATTACAATGACCAAGACCTACTCTCTGGGCAACTTGGACCCTTAGTATCCCAGGGATACTTGAGGTAGAGACCAGAAAAGACTTGAGCTATTCTGTCACTGAGTAACATGGTGCTCATCATGCCAGAGAATTGAGCAATATTCACATACAAGCCTGACTCAGTATTACTTCCATGAAGATTTTTTTTGGCCACAATTTTATATTATTTTTACTAATTTCCTTCAAGACCAACCCCTCATATCTTCATGGTAACGCCCGTAAGAAACAAAGCAGATGGAGGGTTTCCGATGCTATCTTTACTAGGAGTCTTGTCTTTCCTTGTTTTGGGATGTTACCAATAGGCCAGCATCCTTGGAAATCTGTTTTAACTTTTCTCCCTTTGAGGATCTTTCTCTAAGGAAACTGAAGGTGCTTCTATGATAAGAGAACTCTAGACTTGAGCGAGATGTCAGTAGAAGGTTTCTAATATATCTGGTTTGGAATAAAAAGAAGGTCATATGTGAACCCAGTGTCATTTGACTTTGGGGAGAGATGGTCAGTAACCTAGCACAGAATGTGATTGTTAACAGATTAAAGTATTTTCTGCCCACCTGAGTTTATACTAGACTATTATGCTGATTTATGATTAATATTGGGCCTTAATTCAGACCCAACTAAGGGCTTGAATTATCAATCAATAGGCCTTTGAAACCTTAATTAACTATTATTTCTTAATGGAATCATAGAAACTTAGAAGTAAGAGACTATCTGACCCAATTCCTCTAATGTATGGAATTTGAGACCCAGAAAGTAAAAATAATTTCCCAGAACACTTCTTCCATTGTATGTATCCTATGGTCTTGTTAATGAAAATGTATCATGTTTAATTTTAAGGTTTCTGTCTACTCGGAATTATCTGAGTCTCCAAATTCATTTCAGTGTAATTTTTTTAATTAAGAAAGAAGGTAAGCATAAATCAGCTACTCATTGTCTTAGTTAATGAATTTCCTCTTCCAAGTCAAGATATTTATGAATATGATGTTGCTGCTTTTCTTTTACTTTATTCACAAAATCTTTTTTGATGTCGACTTTTAGAAACATTCTGGGACATTAGTTACTGAATATTGGGCTAGACTAACAATTTCAGGTACTCTTTGACAAATCATTCTGACCCAGCCCGGCAGAACCTATGTTCCCCTCTAACCACAAATGCTTTAACAGCAAGTAGGGAAGAAATATCGCTAATAATTCTGAGACCTGATTTGAAATCCAAGGTAACAGAAATTGTATTACAAACTGGGATTAAATTCCTGAACTAGGTCACAAAAGCTTACTTAACTCACACTTTTTTTGTTTCTGTTAGGGTTGTTTCTGTGCAATAAAAAGAAAATATTAGTCAAACAAATTATAACTTAAATAAAAAAGACTACTTAATGGCTTACGTATCCAAAGAGTCCAAGGATAAACCTAGCCTCAGTAATGGCATGATCTACAGTTAATTGACACACCAGCACCTAGTTTTTCTCTCTCCTTGTCTTGACTCTCCTTCTTCTGTTTGGAGTACATTATCACACACTTTCTCTTCTAAAAGAGGCAAGTTGATTGCAGCAGATGCAGCCTACTTCAACTAGGTTCAAGTGGAAGAGCAATCTCTTTCTTGAAGTTCCCACATGAGTCTAATTGGACAAACTAGAATCACATGTTCTTTCCTCATCCAATCACTGTGGCTAGTGAAATGAAGTGAGCTGATTGGCTAGGGCTGGCTTATGGGTTCCACTCTTGGATTTGGAGGGAATCCTCACTCAAAGTAAATAATTTGGGAGTGGATAAGGGGACAAAGTTTCAAAAGAAAATCAGGGTAAAATAATCAAATAAGGAATGGCTGTAGGAAGGCAAAAACATAAACTATACTTGGCCTTATTCCCAAAGATATGGAAGGTGATTTTTTAAAGACTAGGTTTTGATGTCATTCTCTATGTTCTCTATTAATGCATGAAATGAAATTGGCTGGAAACCCGAACACCTTATCACATATTTCCACAGATCCATCTTTTCTCTTTCAGTTGTGAATCTTTTAGTATCTTGAATTAACTTAGAAAAACAAAAGAGTTTGGCCACTTGAATCTTAGGAATTTGCTTCTCAACAGTGTGATTCTCATATTAGCAGCATTTGGTTCACCCAGGAACCTTCAGAAATGCAGAATCTCAGGTCCCACCCCAGACCTGTTGAGTCAGAACTTGCATTGTAACAAATACCTAAGGAACTTGTATTTACATTAAAGCTTTTTCATGGCTGATTAAGAGTTTTTTCTTTATCACTGGTTTTAAGCAATTTGATTATGATGTACCTTGGTATCCTTTTCTTCATGTCTTATGCTTGGGGTTAATTGAACTTCTTGGGTCAACACATTTGTAAACATTTCAGTCATTATTCCTTCAATATTTTTACAATACCATACTTCCTCTTTTCCTTCAAGTACCTCAACTTACATATACAATCCTGTGTAAAGTTCGTCTGCAATTCATCGATGCTGTGTTCATTTTTTTTCAGTTTCTTCTTCTGTGTTTCCTTTTGAAGTTTTATTTCGATGTCTTCAAGTTTAGTAATATTTTCTTCAGCAGTGTCTAATCCCACAGTTAATCCTATCCGGTGTATTTTTCATCTCAATTATTGCATTTTTATTATTTAGTTCAACTTAGATCTTTAAAATATATATAATATTTATATATATTATATATAGTCATATCTATAATGTCCTCCTGCCTTCCTCTACCTTCTTTAACATATGGAATGTATTTATAATAACTGTTTTAATGTCCTTTTCTACTAATTCTATCATCTGTGTCATTTCTGAGCCTATTTACATTGATTGATTTCTCTCCTCATTATGGGTGCTATTTTCTCACTTTTTTGTCTACCTGGAATTTTTTATTGGATGCCAGACATTGTAGACTTTATTTTGTTTGGTAAACATTTTATATTCCTTTAAATTTCATATGCTTTATTCTGGGACACAATTTATTTAGAAATAATTTTATCCTTTCAAGGAATTGCTTTTAAGCTTTGCTAGGTAGGACAAAGGTAACTTTTTAGTTTAGGGCTAATTTTGTTCTACATCCTTAGAGGCAGAACAATACCTGATGTCCATGTATTACAAAGTTCTTCCCGCTGTGGCTGGTGGGAACACAAACTATGACCACCGTGTATGAGCTCCAGGGATTATTTCATTTCCTTTATCCAGGAATTATGTAGTTTTCTTACATCCGTGATGCATTCACCTGTACTCAGCTGAACCTTTTGCAGATTTCTGGGGCTCTCTCTCTGTGCAACCATCTCTTATCCAGCTCTGCTCTGCAAATTCGAGCCACCTTGACCTCCCAAATTTTCATCACTGTTTCTTCAACTGAGGTAGTACACTGGGCTCTGTTTGGGTTCCCGTATCCTGCACTGTGACCTTGAAACTTTTCGAGGTAGTCAGCCAGAGTAGTAATCATAGGACCCACTTAATTTGTTTTTCTTCCTTCAGGGATCACTGTCCTGTACTGCCTGTTGTCCAAACGTTTGAATACCATTGTTTCATATATTTTATCAAGTTTTATAGTTGTCTAAGGCAGGAGGGTAAATCTAGTCTCTATATGGAGTTCCTGCACATTCAAGCTTGAGAAACAATCTTAGAAGACTTCATTAGCCTCATTGTGTCCACCAAGTTCTATCCAAACTTGCTCAGAGATGGAGTCATCCCCTAAGATTTTATGAGACCCAATACAATTTTTTTTTCGTAATTTCTTCTCAGATGCCACCCTTTTTCTGAAAAGAGGTTTCTGATGCCTTCTACGCTAGAGTTGATGTACTCTTGGTAAACCAAGATTTATGAGATCACTGATAAGTTCAGTATCCGTCTCTGGAGAACCCAAATACCTTAATAATATATATCACTGACATTGTTTTCTATTGAAAAGATCTGGGAGATAATAAAAGTGATATTCTAAAGCAATTAGTTGAGGCAACAGAAAAAACAAAAACATAAAAAAAGCCATTAGGCAAATGTTGACCATTTGAAGCCATTCTGCTTTGAAATTAGGTCAGATAATAGGAAAAGGGTGGAACTCTGGAAATTTTCTGCCCATCACCAATTTGAATATTAGACCAATTCATTATTCATAGAAATCCCAGAAGATACTCATGCATATCTTTGGAAACAGGTAGCCTGAATTTGAAACAAGCTTTGGGAACACAGCCCACTCGTAAATGAGAGACACCTAACTCTCCCATACCCACAACTCTGGAAAATGAAGACTTTGGGTTTCCTTAGCATTTTTGGGTCTGCCCTATATTAATGTCTAAGAAACACCACTTGTGTTTCTCCACCTTTCTGCCACCACTCTTGCCAAGCCAACATCGTCTCCCACTTGGACTATTGCATGGCCCCCGAAGTAATCACCTTGTTCATGCTCTTTGCATATTTCAGTCCTTTGTCCATACAATCAGCCAGAGTCATTTTTTAAAAGCTATTTTCTGATCCTATTACTACCCTTCTTAAATTTTTCTAATGGCTTCCCAAAGCACTTAGAGTGAAATCTAAGCTTCTTATCACAGCCCTTCTGGCTTCCTTTCCAGCTCATCTCGTATTGCTTGTTTCCTCTGCTCCAAGCATCCTGGCTTGCTTCGTTTTTCTAGCAAGCCAAGTCCTTTCTTACCTCCTGCTCTTTGTAGTTAGCCAGAGTAATCACAGGACCACCCTAATTTGTTTTTCTTCCTTCGGGGATCACTGCCGTTTACTGCCTGTTGTCCAAACTTTTGAATACTGTTGTTTCATATATTTTATCAATTTTTAAGTTGTCTAAGTCAGGAGGGTAAATCTAGTCTCTGTATTCCATCATAGCCCAAACTGGGAGTTCCTGCACATTCAAGCTTGAGAAACACTGTTAAAAGACAGTGTGTTGTTCTCTCTTCCCATGTGCACTTCATCTAGATCTTTTCACTGCTGGCTGTTTCTACTTACTTTAAATCAGAGCTCAAAATCTTACAGAAGCTTTTCTGACCATACTACCTAAAGTAGCTTTTCTCTAATATCAAATCACTTTATTTTTCTCAATGGAATTCATTATCATTTGGAATTTTCTTGGTTTGTCTATCTCCCCCATTAGAATATAAGCTTCGTGAGGACAGGTAACTTGTCCATCTTGTTCACAGCTATAACCTCATGCTTAGAAAGTGCTCAGCACATGGCAGCCACTTGCTGGATGTTGCTGGATGTTAAAAAGAACTGTGAGCCCACCATGGGTGCAAAAAAGTTTAAGCTAATTTATACTTATATTTTAAAAATCAATTTTTAAACCAATTTATGTCAGATCTGTTTATGCTTCTAATCTTGGTTGCTGGTACATAAATATATTAAACATATCTTTGGCTTTCTTTGAGCATTTATTATAGCATAGTTAATGTGCAGACAATTTTAGTGTATTTTATTGTATATTTTTCTTATATTTCAACAAACATGTTTTGGGTATGCTAGACCTGAAAATCTGTGATGAAAATATGAAATTGTTTTTTCAAAAGTAGATTCTTAGATCCCTCCTTCTGAAAACAAACTGGAATGGGGTTTTAGACTCATAGGAGACTTCATATACATAAAGGAATACATAAATATATAAGTATATGTTTTTTGAACATATATATATATATGCACACACATACATTATCTTATTTTCAACCACATCAGGTACATGTGTAACTTTCATGTAATGCTATGTGATGTAATTTTACCTGAAGAAAGCAATACCTTACCTAATACCCCTTTGATGCCTTTAATTGAAATTATATAATCAGTTGTTATTTATGAGCACAGTATTTTAAAAATTTACATTATGAAGTACTGTGGGGTTTGTCAGTGCATACACAGCATGGTGGGGATTCCCATAACAGGAAATTGATTCAGGGCAAAATTTCATTTAGTTTTTGAAAGTATATTCCTTTCTTCCAGGCATGGGCTTTTCATAGGGCTGTGAAGAAGATTGCACTTAGTGGAATGGAGGGATGCACTGCCCTGTTCTAGGGACCTTCATGCTATTTTGAGTGTATGTTGTTTCTATTCAAATGATTCCCCAACTGTGGTTGCCTATTAGAGTAAAGAATCAACAGGGTCTTTGGTAACCATGGAAGCCACTGGCTCTCGAATGAGTTATTTTTAGGTTGCTTCACAGAATAAATTTCTCTTCTTTCCTGAGAGGAAAATAGTGTAATATGATCTTTACAATGTGAGACCTCAGCCATGGAAGCCAGAAAGGGCCATTGAAAAAAGGAGGATTTTATATTGCCTTATTTTATTGATAATCCAAATTTTAGTCCAGATGAGACTTGGAAAGTTACATTAATGGTAGGCACTTTACAAAATCTAGGAGTCATCAAACAGCTCTCACTGGGACCTCAACTTTTAGAATTTTAGTTCTAGCATTTCTTAAATTTGTTTTTCCCTTTGCTAATCAGAGCCTCAAAGGAAAGCCCCAAGTAAATCCTGCTAGTACTTCAATTAGAAGATATTGAGAAAGCAGTTTATGCCTCTGACTTCTGGGTAGATTAGGATGTAGTGACATTTCTATAGGTTGCTTAATTCAGACTTGGTTTTCCCTTTTAGCCTCAGATTAGGAAGAAGAAAAAATGACTGTGATCAGCTAGCATTTCTTAACAATAAACTCTTGTCTCAGTATTATTTTGAAAATCTGCATTGACAGAAATTTTTAAAAACAGTAATTATGAATTCTCCCCTGACCAAAGGACAAATTGCATTTTGCTCCTGGAAATGCCTCTATATTATTAATATTATTGTTGTTATTTATGAAGTGACTCAAGGGTGTGTTCATGAGTGTTGGAAGATGTATGGAAGAAGCAGAAGACCAGATTTCTTTCTAATTAGGTCAGCCAAGGCTAGAAAGTGATTATATTCATATTATTTCTGCTTTCACCTAAATAGTCTTTTAAATAGAACCTAGAAAAAAATGGAATGTCAGACCTGTAAAGAGCCTTTAGCACGGGCCTCATTTTGCAAAATGAGAAGAAGCCCCAGCCAGTTGTCTCTCGTTTCTCTTGACTTGGGATCCATTGATCTGTCATGGACAAGCCTAAGATCATACCAGGGGACTCAATGTTAGGGGCTTCGCTTCACACCTACAATGAAATCCAAACTCATGATCATGGCTACCAAGTGGGCTCACACCTGCTGATGCCTCCTACCTCCTGCGCTCCCTCCCTGTGCCTCATCCACATGTTTCAGTACACCCATTTTTCCCTTTCCTGAAAATACAAGTTTGTTGAAATGTGTAGGCTCTTTGTGCTTTCTGGGGACCGTGCTTTAAAGCCTTTTCCCTGATTTGGAATGGCTGTAGGCAGAATTCTAAGAAGGCCCCCAAGCTTCCCACACTTGAGAGTTTCCCACACCCTATATAATCCACTGTTGTGCTGGACCCCTTTGAATCTCAGTAGGGATGGCACCAAGTTTGAGAAGCCAAAGAAAAGACCTGAAGCCAGCAAATGAGACATGGGGTCTTACTGGGGGCTTCCATACAGGGTAGAGAGTCCAGTGGTGGTGGCTGGGCAGGAAAACTGCAACCACTTACAAAAAACATGCAGTTTGTATAGCATTTTCACTTTGCACCCTCCCGCTAACAACTTCCACCTGGCAGCCTTCATTTAACCCAAAACAAAGGGCCTGAATATCCTGTATGGCCTGCCTAACACTGATGGGACGGGGGCACAGGTGTTTCTCACAGATAAGGAATGGATCCCTGGGTTGGCCACTCCCAGATTCTCTAGCTCAGAATCCCTAACCCCACTCAGGTCCACGTGCCATACAGGTTCATTCTCAAGGTATGCTTAAGTTATTACTATCAGGTGCATTTACCATATACCACTCACACTGACTGCTGGGGCTTGGGGGCCAGTGAATATGATGCTACATCACTCCAGTGATGTTGTTACTGATCAGCTGATGGAGTTAATCAAAAGACAGACTCCCACATGGGTCTGATCTAATTGAGTGATCCCTTTAAAAGAAGGTGAAGTATCAGAAAGACACTCCCCTGCTGGCCTAATGGAAAGCAAACAGCCATATTGTGAGAGGAGGGTCCATGTGGTACATGCCTGAGGATGGTGTCGATGTCTAGGAGCTGAGGGTGGTCCCCAGCCAGCAGCTAGCAAGACAACGGGCACCGCTGTTAAACAGACACGAGGAAAAGAATCCTGCCAACAACCAAGGAACTTGGGAGAGGACTACTCTGAACCTCAAATGAGATCACAGCTCCTGCGAACACTTTGACTTCGGCCTGCAAAACCCAGAGTGGAGGACTGACAAACCAGCCCAGCCTCCTGACTCACAGAAACTTCAGTAAGTAAGACAGTAAGCTGTGTAAAGGTGCTGAGTTTGTGGCAATTTGTTACACAATAATAGAAAACTAATATCTCCTCTTTCACGTCTCAGCTCTTACCATTTCCTCAGATAGGCTTTCCCTGAGCCCTCTAATGTTTTGTGTCCCCTGCCCCTATGATCTTGATTTGTTCTTTTGTGAGCACTTAACAGAATCTAAAGCCACCTTATTTGCTTACTATTTTGATGGTTGCTGTATTCCCTAGCACTTGCGATGATGTTGCACACATAGTAGGCATGCAATAAATATTTGTTGAATGAATCACTGAATCCAAATTAATTAATTAGTTTTTATCAGCTGCCCATGACTAAACTGCTAAATTAGTCCCTGGACCACCAGGTGGCAGATCATTTAGAGAGTAAAGTAAATAGAAGAACCTTGGCCTAGTGACAGAACGTCAATTCTCTAATGACAACGTTGCCATCCAGACTTTAATCTAAAACCATCTGCCTTTATTTTTCTTAACCTGGTCAGTTGGACAGCACATCTGCCATTGCTAGTGTTTCTGTAGCCAAATTATATGATTAACTCTTTTAAAACAGGAGCTTAGAAACAGAATGGATTGATGCTATCATCATCACCTACCATATAACCAGCCACAGAGGGTTATCTTTACCAGTCATTTGTTATTGTGATTTTTCTTCCCTGCATAATTTAACTTCTTCAGTGTGGATCTGGTTAACTGTTGTCCAGATTTCAGTTGATGATTTTCTTTATTCATATGTTTGGATAGGGTGTTCTCATGCTTTGGGAGAATGGACTATTATTATAATGTGTCTCTCATCAAAACTTTGCTAGCCTGGAACACACTCATTGTTATGATATGCACTCAGACTACTGAGTACCTAGCTGATTTGAACCTAGGTTTTTGTTCGTAAGGGTTTCACCGTGTATGTAGAAATTCACTAGAGTGTAAGAGCCAAGAAAACAAAAGCTTTATTTGTCTTATTTTTTGCTGACCTCTTATCCTCTGTGCTGCTTTTTGCATTTGTTGTACTGTTATAATAATGCCAGGCATATAATGGGTACTCAATAAATAGCTTTGAAGAAATGAATGAATCAAGTCCCTTACCATCTTAACTATCACCAAGTCATGGAAGATCTGTTCTGTAAGAGGTTTCCTGCAGGAAATTGCTCTTTTCCATTTGAAGAACCTAAACATTCAAGATCCATTCAACTGTCATATCCTTAGGAAATGGATGTTAGGATGGTTATTAACCGTGTACATATCACCTTTTATTAAACATCAACCTTGTGTCTGGTATTATGTGATGTGCTGAGGACACAAAGATAGATAGGACCCCTGCCCTAAAAGAATTTACCATCTTACAATTCTCATCTATTACTACCCATTGTCAGGATTGCCACCAACTGCAATTCTAGAAAATAACCTAAGGTTCATTGGAGTATAGGGCCTGGACATTCTGAAGATTGCTCTTATTTGAATGTCTGCGTTTGTAATATTGATATTCCTTTCCCTGCTTTTATTTAGTTAAGGTAATGAAGGCTACCTGCTGAAACAGATAAACCTCAGCAGCTTAGTATAATAGAAATATATTTCTCATTTTGATTTCCAAATGGGGTTCCAGATCATTTGGCAATTCTGTCCAAAGCTGTGATTTAGGAATTCAGGTTTCTTCCATTTTGCAAGTCTGCAGTATTCAACTTGTAATGTTGCTGTTCAAGGAGAAAAAGGGGAAGATCTCATGGGTCGAGCCTGGATGTTCCCACGATCCTTTGATCAGAGCTCAGTCACATGATCACACCTACCTGCAACGGACATGTAGTAACACAGTCAATGAGCATATGAAGTGCACTCATGTTCACTAGAGTGCAACCAGAAGAGATAATTCCTGTTTATCAAGCTAAAGGGATCTTAATAAACTTTTTTCTTTTAAAAGATCAGAACTGTTTTAAAGTTAAAGATTTTTACCTTAAAGAATTATTTTGAATAATTTTTTTCTAGAGAGGAACATGCTTATTATAATAAACCAAAATATTTACAGAAATTCTAGGCTATTCTGACAAAAACAACCATTTTAAGATACCATAAAAATATAGTGAATGTAGTAAAGAAAATTTAGTAAAGGTATGTTCCAGGAAAAAAAAAGAAGCAGGTTTTGTGAATAGTCAGCAAATCTGTCAAACTGATTCTCTGGTGTCGAAGAAATTCCCTGAGAGTTTCTATGCTAACTCTATTATCCATGTAGAGTGATAAAGAGGCCAGGGTCAGAATAACTGGGCTGTGTTTTTCTGTTACTTATCAATCTGTCGACTTTTTACAGGCACTTTTCCTCTCTGGGTTTCAATAGGTTTACACAAAATGGGGACAAGACACACATATTGTATATTTGTCATATACTGTCATATGTTACTTGATGATTTCATTGTTGTGCGAACATGATAAAATGTACTTACAAACACTTAGATGGGATAGCCTGTTGTACACTTAGGCTATATAGTATGGCCTATTGCCCCTAGGCTGCAAACCTGTACAGCATGTTACAGTACTGAACACTGCAGGCAATTATAACACAATGGCAAGTATTTGTGTATCTAAACATAAAAAAGGTACTGTAAAATTATGGCATTATAAGCTTAAAAGACCACCATCCTGTATGTGGTTAATTGTTGACCAAAACATTATTCTGTGAATATATTTGCTTGGAAGGGTGAATTAAATAATTACCATGGAAATATGCTATGAAGTGCAAATCTTAGTGTAAATAGAAAGCAATATCTTTCTTCTCCTCATCACCATCACCATTAGGATCATGAAATATAAGGAAAAGGTAGGAGGCAAAGTAAGGATGTCCAATTTGGCATCAGCTTTATCTTGCCCTACTTGTCTCTCACTCTTTGTAGTTGTATTGAAATCCTTGCTGCCTTCTAATAAATCATACCAACAGCATTTATTCATTTCCCTGACAAAGACTTACTGAGGTCTAAAAATAAACAACCATCTTTACCATTGTTTTGAGCTCTGATCCTATGGCTGACACTAGACCAGGTATGCACTTGACCCACATGATCTCATTTGATCCTACCCTAAACTCCAGGAGGCAGATTCTCTTATCACCCCCTATTTTTTACAGATGGGGAAACCAAAGCTCATAAATGTGAAGCTGTGCATTAAAGGTTACAGGCTCAACACTGGTAGTCTGGCTTCAGAGCCCATGCTTGCAACTATTGTCCTCTTGACTCTTCATGTGTCTATTATGTGCCGGGTGCCAAAGGCTTCCACAGTGAGCAAGACAACATGATTCCTGACTTCAAGGAGCTTTCATCCTGGCTCTCAGAAGCCTTCAGGCTCTTACAGACAGTTAACTTTTTTAAAATACAGACTTCATTTTTTATTTTTTATTTTTAATAGATTTAGGGGGTACAAGGGCAGGTTTCTTACATGCGTATATTGCGTAGTGCTAAAGTCTGGGCTTTCAGCATACTCATCTCTTGAATAGTGAAACTTGTACCCAACACGTAACTTTTCAACCCCCCTTTTTTAGAGTAGTTTTTATAGTGAAATTGACCAGAAGGTACAGAGAGTTCCCATCGACTCCCTACCCCCACACATCTATAGCCTCCCTCATAATTATTATTACTATTATTATCCCCCAAAAGAGTGGTAGATTTGTTACAACTGATGAGACCACACTGACTCATAATCTCCCAAAGTCCATAGTTTATCTTAAAGTTCACTCTTGGTGTTGTACATTTTATGGGTTTTGATAAACGTATAGTGGGATGTGTCCATCATTGTAATATCATAGAGAGTAATTTAACTGCCCAAAAAGTCTTCTATGCTCTGTCTGTTCCATTCCCCTTTCCTTGCAATGCTCTCTAAACACCTTTTTTCTCTTTCTCAGACTGGTTGGTTTCTCCTTACCCTAAGGACTCAGGTCAGGCATCACCTTCCTTAGCTCTTTCTGACCATCTAGGTAGTATTTAGAAAGTGTCTCACACATGCTCATAAGCAGAGGCAGTATTGCTTGTGGTTAAAGTAGTAGATCTAGACCAAGATTGGCTCAATCCTGGTTCCATCACTTCTAAACACTGTAATTTGGGGCAGTTACTTACTTTACTTCTCTGGGTCTCAGTCTCCACTTGTGTAAAACGGAACTGTTACAAGGATAAAATGAGATGATGCATGTAAAGAGTTTGGCACTTACATGGCAAGTGCTTAGTTAGTTAGCTTTCATTAACTACCATTATGAAGACTCATCAGTGACCATATATCATTCTCATTTCTTCCTCCTAGCCAGGACTGCCTGGCCTGCTGTGAAAGATGGGAATGTTGACTTGCATTCTGCCTTCAATTGCAATGGTTTGGAATTTAAACTGAAAGGTCACTATTTCTGAACCTAGAATTCTGGCATCTTGAGTTAAACTAGGGAATGGCCGTGGCATGACCAAAGCCCCCATTTTTGATAATGTTGTACATCTTAATGAACACACCAACTCCACACCCTTCCCACAGAAACAGTGCTGATTTATGTTTTTAATCAGATTCGCCTTTGCTGATGTGCAGTGAGGAATAATTAGTTGGAGGTCAGTGCAGAGAACTGCACTACACTCAGCCAGGAGGGGATGCTTCCTCTAGCATGTCAATTCCCTTGCTGAGGTAGCTTTCCTCCTTTTTCTTTGTTACTCCGAAGTGAAACTTGATGGGTCTCTGTGGGAAGCCTAGTCATCTCTTTCTCCACACTTTCTCTCCCAGGCCTAAGAAGGTTTACAGTCCCCAGGTGAGGATAAGGACATGTCTAGGTAACCAATTAGGCCAAACAGAGCATTGAGAGACTTGTAGAATACATACAAATTTCAGTGGACTAAAGGTCAGTGTACAATAAATTGAGTCTGAGCCAGGCTTTTTTCCTCCCAGGGTTTGGGATGCTGCAGAGTTTAATCTTGGAGCTCTGAGGGTCTATAAAGGAAGCAGCAGGTATTCAGAATGTCAGTCTTTGTTCCACTACAAAGGCATATGTGCTGTTAGGCTCCAGAAAAATCTTGTCATGTCTAGTGGAAGCATTGGTTGCATCTTTCTTCCCTGTTGTGCTTAGAAGCCCCAGTGCCTGTTCATACACGATGAAGGTGCATACTTTACTTCAACCAGAGTCAGGAAATTTAGGAGGAAAAAAACAAACCTTGGTTGTTATGATCTGAAATTTTAAAGTAAACCCAATAGGGAATGTGGCAACTTAAAAAATGCGGCTTCATTTCTCCCATTGAGAGGTGGGGTCTATAACTCTCTCCCCTTAAATCTGGGCAGCTGGACAGATTCAACCAATAATACATGGTGATAGATGATTTATGAGAGTCATAAAAAGCATACCGTTTCCGCCTTGCTCTTTGAACACTTGTTCTTGGAGCCCTATGCTGCCATGTAAGAAGTTTGACTGCTCTTACACTCACCATATTGTGAGGAAGCCCAAGCCACATGGAGAAGCCTCATGATGTCCCAGTTAGTTTCAGTTGAGACTAGCTCCTGAGTTATGCCAGCCTAGGTGTCAGATATGTGAATGAAGGCACTTCTGGATAATTCTAGGCTCCAGTGGTTGGAGCTATCTCCAGATATCTTAGTCATACTTAGCCATGCATGTCTTCCAAATAGAGGTCCCAGAAATTGGGAAGCAGAGACAAACTATTGTTCTCTGTCCAAATTCCTAACCTGTAGAATCCATAAGTGTAATAAAATTATTGTTTTATGTCAGTAAGTTTTGGGGTGGTTCATTATATAGCAGTAGATAGCTGTAACAGTCAATTTCACGAAGCCATTCCCCCAAGAAAGTGTGAGTAGGAGAACTAGTGTAACTGCAGGCACAGTTGGTAAAAGGTGATAAAAATCATGGTATCAGTAGAATTTAGAATTATAAGGAACCTTAAATTCCATCTAGTAGATCCAAAGCATCTAGTATATCTAAAGTTTGCTTAAATGCTTTCAATGATAGGAACTCATTATTTAATAAAACATCCTCTCCTGCAGAGGTACAACTTGTTGGATTGGAGAGAGATATTTTTATTGCTAGGTAGATATGGTTGGTGACAGAACAAACATAGATGTCTAAGATAAAATGGTTTTGAGGAAAGGTTCCACCTATACAGGTTGGAGCTTATGAAAAAATGGCAAGCACCATGACACCTGCTGTTTGGACTATTCTGCTGAAATTTGTCACATGTTGGCTTATTTTTTTTAAGGCTTTTGTAATGTGTAGAGCACATCTCTTTCTAATTCCACCTCATGATGTATTGAATTCCAGTGGTAAAGGAGAGGGAGAAATGAAAGCTAATCTGGGTAACGGTGTTAGAAATATAAAGGCCAGCATATAGGCTCAAAGAGAAGAAGTCATAGTTCACAAAAAGTGGAATATAAATAAATGACACAATGCAGCTACAAAAAAAAACACGAATTCATTCTTCAATAGGCAGCAACGTAGAGCAGTCACAGGTGCTAGTTGTTTAACTGTCCAGTGAATGAGTCAAACTCCATTTGCAGAATTGCCCTCAATTCTGGGAAGTCCAAGAGAGACATGGACAACCTAGAATATTTTCAGAAGATGTCAGCAAAGGTGGAAAGAAGTCTAGAAACCATGTCGATTACTTCTCAGCCTTTTGGCTAAGATCAAGCATAGAAACCATGTCATATAGAATATAATTGAAGGATCTAGGCATATTTAGCAGAAAGTAGAAAATAATAAGAAATGATATGATAAACATCTTTAAATACTTCAAGTGTTCTAAGCAGACAAAAACATAAACTTTCACAAACGATTCTTAGCTCATTAGTCCAGGCCCCTGTCCTTGCCTACCTTGACTTCTGCATCAAGCTTTTCTCTGGTCTCTCTGATTTCCATCTTGCCATTCACAATCAGGTTTCTACAAATGCAGATGTGAGCTTCTAAAGTTGCAAATCAGATCACAACACTTCTTTTAAAATATTCTCTAAATTTCTCATTGGTCTTAGAATAAAATCCACTTTCCTCACCATGTCCTATAGTGATCCTCAGCTCTATCAAAGTCAATAGCTTCATTTTATGAACAAATATTTTCATTTACCCACTTTACTCTCATAATGAACTTTACAGATAATATAACCTATCTGATCACGAATTCAAATATAGAAATAATGTCCTAGTTTTGTATAATGCAGAATAGAAGGAAAGTGATTTATAATAATGCAATATATATTCAGCATGTACATATATAGGCATAATTACACTAGAAGTCGTGAGTAGATAAATACTTGCATCTATAGGTAAAGTCATGAGGAACATGTGAGCAACAAATGCAGATTGATACAGGTGTGTTTGTGTTTTGATTAGTAACTCAGACACCTCAAGCAGCATTGCTATGGTGACATTATATCCCAAAATGTTTTTGGTAATGTTCAGAACAAAACTATGTTTACTCTTCCCTCAGTTTATAAGGTATTTGTGTTTTTGGAAGAGTTGGGGACTAATATATCTTTAGTTTAAAAAATGCTCTGATTTAAAATGAAGTTAGATTTTAGGATCGGATAACTATTAGCTGGCGTTTTATCTAAATAAGTGTTTAGTGGGACATTAGAAAGTCATATAAGACGAATCACAACTCTGATGTGTAGACTTTCCTGTGTGCTACAGGAACCCTTGTAGTCCTGTTTTGTGTTTTCTGAATGCCAGGAAGGAGTTTCTGTTGTTGTCACTGACAAACAAAAAAAAACCCACTCTGAAAGAGTCCCAGAAATGCCCATAGGTATGGCTACCCTGACGGCTCTCAGGGAGAACCTCTGGCCTACAATATCTGGCTCCTGACTTCTTTCTTCTCTAGTTGTAACTCCTACCATCCTTTCCTCACAAGCTGCAAACTCACTGCCTCCTTCTCACTTTCTTAAAAGAGTGAGTAGTTTACTTTTCTTTTTCTATACTTTGAACTGCCGTGTCTCCAAATCTTTGCCTGGTTTGGTTTTCTTGTTATTCACACCTCAGCTCAGATGTCACCTCCTGAGAGAAGCACTCCTAGACTACCTTGGCTCAAGGTAGCATCCTTGTCCACATCACTGTTTCTTTACCCTATTATACTTTCTTTGCAGCATATTTGATAGCACCTAATACTATTTGGAAAAAAGTTTTAAAATTTATTTACATGCTCAATATTATTCCTTTCTGTCATTAGAATATAAGTCCCAGGAGGTCAGGAAATCTTGTCTGCTACCAGATACATTCTAAGTGCCAATGTCTAGCACACAGAAGGTGCTTACTAAATAGATTTTTTGAATCAACTATTTGACTCCTCCCTTGTACCTTTCAAGATAACACCTACATTCTTTAGCATGGCACTTGAATCTCTCAATATCTTTCCCAGCATATATTTCTCTCTCGTTTTCTCCTTTCACTCACCACTTCTCTCCTTCTACTATAGTCTCTCAAATATGACATGTCATTTAACGTTTCATTTCTTTGCATGTTGTGTTTTCTCTGCCTGAAATTCAGATGAGATAAAACTCCCTCGATTTCTCTCTTCCTCCCATCCTGTAGAAGATTACATACTCCTTTCTCTGGAACGGCCTTGTGACTGTGCTTATCCAAGGGGATTGCCTTTGTTGATGTGTACATCTCTCTGTGCTATAGTTTGAGTATGGTTTGTTTGACATCTCAAAATATCACATTGAAATTTGATCCCCAGTATTGAAGTTGGAGCCTAATGGGAGGTGTTTTGGTCATGTAGGTGGATCCCCCATGAATGGCTTGGTAACATCCTCATAGTAATGAGTGAGTTCCATCTCTGTTAGTTCCTAAAAAACCTGGTTATTAAAAAGAGCGTAGCACCTCCTCCCTCTCTCTCTTTCATTCCCTTTCTCACTGCACACACTGGCTTGCCTTCCACTATGAATAGAAGCAGCCTGAGGCCCTCATCAGAAGCAGATGCTGGTGCAATGTTTCTTATACAGCCTGCAGAACTGTGAGTCAAATAAACCTATTTTCTTTATAGATTACCCAGCCCCAGGTATTCCTTTATATCAACACAGATGGACTAAGACACTCTCCAACTGGACCTTGAGCATTTTGATAGCATAGCCCCCTTCTTAATCATCTCTATATGCCCAGTGCTGAGTATGATGACTGATGTGGAATAAGTTACAGAATTCAATTTTCACTATGTTACAGTTGAATTATTATCTCAGATAGTTGAGTACATTTGAGATCTCAATTTTGTTATCCATTTCAGTTGAATATTTTTCACAGTATGATATCAACTGTAAATTTGGTAAGTATGCCTAAGTGACACAGACTTCAATGGGCACATAAAAGTATATGAATCCCTTGGATTTGCAATGAATGACAAAATGATTTCTAGATTGTTTTTGTGGTTACTAATAATATTTCTTGAGGGTGGTATGCTAGGCACATTTCTAAGCATTTTTCTCATTGAATCCTTCAGCAATTCGGTGTTTAGATTTACTGATGTTTTTCAGACTGAGTGAACGTCACAAGGTCACAGCTGTTAAGTAGAAGATAATTAACCTTGATGTATCTGATCCCAGAGCCTAGGTTACTAACCATTATGCCAAGTCTTTTCAATGCCATTTTATATATCTGCATTTATTAGACCCAACTATCCTTGAATCTGGCCAAAATAGAGTTAATGGAGATGTTTTAAAGTTAATCCTATTTTCTCAGGATAAACAGGATTTTAATCCCTCCCCCCCCCAAACAAAAAATATTCTTCTGTTAATAATTGCTTTTTCTCCCCTTTTCTCTCTGTCAGGGAAGGTCAGTTTATTATGGGTCATTGTGGATGCAACAAAATTAATGACAATTGATATTCGTCCTCTGCTTCTCATATTAGTGGCTCTGTATCAGCATCCACTCCCCATGCAGTGGGCATGCCCCCCTCCATCACTGTTTTCCCATCAGCTGAGGTTTTGCCTTAGCCAGTGAACTTTTAATCACTCTGAATAGCTAATCACCATAATTCCTCACTGGCAAAAGCTGCAAGTTCATCATGTGAATGGACCCAGTGTCCTTGTTAATCACAGTAATCGCTCACCACTCATGAGCTGTGAAAAGTAGTGACAAGTATCCTCATCACACTTGGTTGCTCACAATCTGAGGGAGGCTGATAGGAGTCTCATGATTCACCCAACACAGGCTGTGGGGCTAGCAATGGAATGCCTGCCAGAACTGCAAGTTTCAGATCTCTGTTTATAATTATTATTTTCCCAAGTTGGCAAATGCTCATATCTTCATCCCCGCAGTTACTGATGCTAAAGTTTCCATAGCAGGATTCCCTTGCAGACCTCTCCTTCCTTTGTGTCAAATGACCCATCTTGACTGGCATCCAGCCTCCTGAGATTCCTGGCCAGGACATGAACTTTTGGTGCAAAATTAACTAAGGGTATTTGTCTTATACTGGAATTGTTTTAATAGCAGTAAACCAGAAACCGATCCATCTGGTTTAATTATAGAAGGATTTATCCATGGGTATATCTTTTCCCCAAGGCCTAGAAATTTCACCACTCTTCAAGAGGGACATGAACTGGACTTGAAGGGCCACTAGCTGTCAAGGCAGTTATTCTGTTAATCCTGTTTCCCATGCCTTCTGTATAGACTCCTCTGGATCTCTATGTGTTCTACTATTTCATTTTTCTATCTTGTTTTGCTTTGTTATCACCTCTTTCAGCTTTGTTTTGGAACACAGACCATAAATGGCTTTCCCAAAAGGGCAGTCTTGGTGTACATGTCCTGAGCAGTCCAGGGTTTTCTGCTAACAGAATATACTTTCTGATTTCTAGTTCCACATTCTCATCCCACAGCTCTTCAAACTGTTCTATTACGAACTCCACACTGTAACTTCTCCCAGATTTGCATGTCAAGGTATCAGCAGACTAAAGGGCTTCATTTTCATCAAAATTAATTTTCTTAAAACAGCTATTTTAAGGTG
This sequence comes from Homo sapiens, assembly GCF_000001405.40. Classification (NCBI taxonomy): domain Eukaryota; kingdom Metazoa; phylum Chordata; class Mammalia; order Primates; family Hominidae; genus Homo; species Homo sapiens. Next base: position 155,481,770 of record NC_000005.10, read on the forward strand.
TCAAAAATAAACATTTCTGCTATTATTATACCATTTCAAAAAGTCTTTTAAAATTGTCTGAATGGGCCAAAGACCATCACAGACTCTTCACCCAAAAATATATACAAATAACAAATAACATATGAAAAGATGCTTTACATCATATGTTAGCAGGAAAATGCAAATTAAAACAACAAGATACTGCTACACACTTATTAGAATGGCCAATATGTGGGACACTGACAACACCAAATGCTGGCAAGGCTATGGAGCAACAGGATCTCTTATATATTGCTGATAGAAAAGTGTTACAGCCACATTGGAAGACATTTTGTCAGTCTCTTATGAAACTAAACATACTCTTATACAATCTGCCAATTGACCTCCTCTATATTTACCCAAGAGTTGAAAGCTTATGTCCACACAAAACTTATGTCTTACACATAGATACTTTTAGCAGCTTTATTCATAATTACCAAAACCCAGAAGCAGCTAAAATGTCCTTCAGTAGGTGAATGGATAAATTAACTGTGGTATATCCAGACAATAGAGTATTACTCCGGGCTAAAAAGAAATGAGCTATCAAGCCATGAAAAGATAAGAAGGAAACTTTAAAGGGTCTTACTAAATGAAATAAGCCAACCTGAAAATATTACATACTGTATGATTGCAGCTATATGACTTTCTTTAAAAGGCAAAACTATGCAGAGAGTAAAAAGGTCAGTGATTGCAAGGGTTAAGTAGGGAGAGAATAGAAGATTTTAAAAATAGTGACAATATTCTGTATGACACTGTAGTGATGGCTACATGTCATTGTATAGTTGTCCAAACTCATAGAATGCACAACACAGAGTGAACCCTAATGTAAACTATGGACTTTGAATGATATTGATGTGTCAGTATAATAATGGCTCACAAATGTACCATTCTGGTGGTGGATGTAGATAATGGGGGAGGCTATGCTTGTGCTAGGGCAGATGTTATATGGGAAATATCTGCCCCTTCTTATTAATTTTGCTGTGTACCTAAAACTGCTCTGCCAAAAAAAGGCTGAAAAACCTAAAAAAAAAAGTGTCACAAGCTCATTATTTTCTTTTTCTTTTTTTTATTTTATTATTGTTATACTTTAAGTTTTAGGGTACATGTACACAATGTGCAGGTTAGTTACATATGTATACATTATTTTCATCCAGAATAGTTGCCTTGGATATTTTTGAAAGTCATCCCTCTTTCTGCATGTTCCTTTCTTTATCACTTCTCCTCTCTCCCTGTCTTAGAGAGAGAGAGAGAGAGAGACAGAGAGACAGAGAGACAGAGAGAAAGAGAGAAAGAAAGAACATATATGCACATGAGTGAATGAGAGAATCCAGATCCCTAAGAGAAATCAAAGCCCTGGGATACTGGAGTGGATTTTTTTCCCTTTACTTAAAACATTGGTTTCTCACCTCACCCCCGCTTTTGAGAACTCCGTCCCCGATTTTCCTTTGTATAACTGTCTCTTCCCCATTGTTCATATTCTTGATGGAGCTGTCAATCAAGTTGCCCTAGCCAAGAGATCAGTAAGAGAACCAAATAAGGCCAACTCATTTCCCATTTTGAGGACTCCAAATATTATAGAGTTCAGTGATGCCAGGATGAAAAGATGATTGGAGCTGATTCTTTGTAGTGTTGTCACCTTAATTGTTGATTAGTTCCTGCTGCTTGGATCTCTGCTTCTTTTTTTCCCCTAAGATTGGCTCTTTAGAGGTTTTTTAAGTTTTCAAATGATCCTATGTCCTACCACTAAAGCTGCGTTGCTTCAGTTAGCCAGAGCCAGTTTTACTGCTTGCAAACAAAACAAAGAAACACACAATTGATCTGGCTACTACGCTACAGAAAGTCTTGGTTGCACAGATTTTATGTTGCTTGATCCTATAAGCGCAGCTTCTCTGTTATGTTCCCGATGGGATGCTCAGAATTCAAGGGCAGGATACAGTGGCTTAGTGCCCTATTTATTTTAGGTAGAATTGACAGAATAGGTCACAGTGAAATTATAGCCCTATATGGTCATGGTTCTACAAACTTTGGGCTGGGTTCTGGAGATATATCTCCTAAGTTAAGTTTAATTAGCAACTACTCAATATCAATCTGCCTTTGGATATCTGGAGCATGAATCTCACAGCTTGGATTCTTCTCCGGTTTTGGTTCATTAGCAAAGATTCTGAGTTATCTGTGGTATAAAGTTCAGAAGTGTATAAGGTAAGAAGAGAGCTTTGAATCAGTTTGGTAGCTGAGGGACACAGACAGGAAAATCTAGCTTGAAAAACAATGTAGTCCCCATCATCCCTGGGTGACTTCCTAGGGCCCTCCAAGGAAACCCCATTTTGTTCTCTCCCTCTTTCCCCTACTCTTCCCCTCTCCTCTTCTCCCTTAATCCTTCTTCGTCAAGTTTTCAACTCTCCTCTCCTTCTCTTGCACATAGGTTGTACAACTATTTTCTACCCTCTTTATCTTTCTAGCTAATATTAAGCAGCATCTCTTTCTGTCAGGTGATTCTAAGCAAGGCTTTAGAATCAGACAGGATAGATATTTTATTTCACCTATGCCACTTGCTAGCTGTGTGACCAAGGGCAAGCTCCTCCCTCAGACCCAGTTTTCTCATATTCCAAATAGAAGGAATAAAGGTGTTCATGTGAGGTTTACAAGGAAAACACTTGATGTCATAACTAGCCCATGGTGGGTAACTAAAGATTGGTAAGCTTTGTCTATTCGATTTAATTTATAACTTCTATTATTATTGTTATTTTCCTACTGTTATTTTTCTTCAATTGCTTCTCATTATCAGCACCTGTTTATTGTGCTTGTCTTTGCATCCATTCACCTCTCTTCTCAGTGTTCAATGCCTTCCCTTCCCTTATCCCATGATAAGGCCACTCACAGGGAACCTAAATTATTAAAAGTTATTCCTAGAAAATTTTAGTAACAATGGAGAAATGTTAGCCTCTAGGCGAGTCTTAGTGGATTTCCCTTTACACTAGTGAAACATAATTTTAGATTATTTTAGTAATACTTTTATGGAATGTTTCCCATTTTCTAAATCTCACTTCTTGTGGTCTTTTGAGAATTCAGGTAAATTTCAAGGTAAAAATTATAAAGGAAAATATGAGCCCCTAGATATTCCAAACTAGGATGAAATCTCACACAGCATCTTCCAACAAGTTGTAAATATAGTAAGATTTTTAAAACTGAGACCACTACGGATAATAATATCTCTATGCATTTATTATAATCATAATGAATTGAAGCTAAATTATCAAACTTTTTGAAAATGCATTCTAGATATTATTTTATTAAGAGGAGAATATTCACACTTTTTTTATGTGTGTTTTTGGAGTCTTTTTAAAAAACAGTTGCATTTAATGGCGATCTTTCCCATCCCTTAAGTGTTCAATTGTTACTGTATTTGATAAGTTGGTGTTGAGAAGACTTTTATTCTTTTTACCTCAGCAATGTGTGAGAAATACTATTTGTTTAGTCAAGACAGTTTCAACTTGGCTGTTTTCCTTGACTCTGATTCCACTTTAAGATGTGTGCTCCAGTTTATGGGCAACATGCTTGCATATTTCTTACAGATGGACTAAACTTGGGAGCTTATCAATAGTTTGGACTTGGAAGTACAGTAGTTCTAATGGGAAAACCTTGCTTTGCTGAACCGTTAATGCTCAAGGTTTAAGTGTGAAAGCCCAGCTGTGCTTAATCCACTCCCCATTGCAATTTCCAACAGAAGCTTGGAACATGCTCAAAGTCAGGAGCTAAGCGGAGGCAGGGATCTAGTGACTTAAGAGGCTGAAGAGATTTTCTCTCTCTGAGTCAAAATTTTTCTCCAGACTTGTGGGATTTGACACTGGAGTGTAGCATTCCAATCTCTGTTTAATACAGGGACTTTGAGTGTATCCACATTCTCTTAGTTCTGCTTCCTTCTTACCATGTATGACAATGAATTCTATCTGATGGGACCCCAGGCACATTGCCTGATCACCCTCCTCAAATAATGCTTGACAGTTCAGTTCTCTGGAGTTTGCATTCAGATCTGTTTTACATCAAAATGCATTTCTCTGACATGTGTAATCCTCTCTAAGCTTGAGAAGAGAGCTTGGTTTCTGTTCTTCTCCCTAGGATTTCTTTCTGTGCATGTGAGGGGATGGGAGATATAATGTATCTTACTCTGAAGATGAGAATTGGAGAAATATTGAGGAGACTAAACAATGTTATTAGGAGGCAGGAATAAAAGTAAAGAAAAAGTGATATAGGAAGGTAAGTGGAGAAAATAAATTTAAATATAGAAACAGTATAGAAAAGGAAATAAAATTTCCTCACTGCTGTGGTTAAGTGTAGGTCCTAATAAAAGGGGTAAAATTGGCTGCAATTTTTTGTTGAAATCTCAACTTGTTTATAAAACACAAACTCATCAAAAAATAGTGAAGATGTTCTGTGTAAATAAAGGGAAAAGTGTATACCTCTCTTCCTCTTTCCCCAACCCTATCCTTATTCCACTTCCAGAGGTGAGCGATGTTAATATGATGTATGTTCTTTTTTTTTTTAATTTTATTATTATTATACTTTAAGTTTTAGGGTACACGTGCACAACGTGCAGGTTTGTTACATATGTATACATGTGCCATGTTGGTGTGTTGCACCCATTAACTCGTCATTTAGCATTAGGTATATCGCCTAATGCTATCCCTCCCCCCTCCCCCCACCACACAACAGGTGAGTGAAAGAACATACATCATCTTTCACTCACCTGTTGTGTTATTTGGGTGAGCCACTGAACTCCTTTAAGCCTTACTTTTCATATCTGTAAACTGGGGATAGCACTAGTTACTTATAGCATTGTTGAGAGGATTAAAATAGGTAAGTCATTTGTATAAATATGTATGGCACAAAGTAAGAGCTCAATGAATGTTGGATATTATTTTTCCAGGCACATATAAGTTTATGTATTTTATAACAAATGAAATGGTCCTCATTATGCATACTGTGATGTAAATTACTATCTTTAAAGATATGCTGGAAACATTTAAAAATATTTATATATATCTTATTTTATTTAAATGCATGCATAAGATCACATCATAGTTAACAATGTTTTATTTTGGCTTGCTTTCTGTCTTCATGCCTTCTCTATCCATATTACCTATCTTGAGGAAATCCACATAAAGGCTTAGTAGGTATGTGTCTATATTTTCCTTCAAGCTCATATAATCATAGACAAAAACACATATGCATATTCATAGAATTTTGTCATTGATTTATAAAAATAAGATTATAGTACACAAATATATTTTTACAATATTTGCAAATTATAAAATATCTTTTCCTGACCCTTCCTTTACTAATAGAGGCTGGAAAGCTTAACATTTGAAGTCACAGCGAATGTCTTTGGTGCTGAGTGGTAGGGTAGGCAAATGTCCCTGTGCTGGTCAACTATACCCAAGAGGAAATCTATTGCAAGGATTTCTAGGAAAGTTTTCTTTCTTAATAAATGGGATAAATTTGGCTGTTGTTGTTGTTTTCCCTTGATCCATCTTGGAAAGTGGAAATAAAACCTGAAATGACAATATCATCTTTGGACCATGATGGGACACATGTGAGGATAAAAGCTGTAATGTTAATGGTGGCATGATGGAAATATCAGGCTGAGTGCCTGATAGCATTTTCAGTGGCTGAATTAATACCAGCAACTGCTGACCTTGGGATTTCCAAAATAAACCCCAATTTGCTTAAACCATGATCAGTGAGTTTTCTTTTCTTTACAGTCAAACACATTCTCGACTGATATGCAGACTTTTCTGGATCTCGTTTTCGTCAGTGAAATCTTGTTGAAGTTCTAATTGATTACTTATCATGGTAGCATACTATTTTATGGTGTGAATGGTTACAATTTTGCCAGCCTTTCCTCAATTGGTGAATGTTTTTTGTTCAGTGTTTTTTTATCTTTTTTCCCCCCACTTCAAACAATGTTGCATCAAATATCATTAAAAATATATCTTTATGTAGTGAAACTTTTATTTTTATGGAACAAATTCCCAAGAGTAGAATTACTGAGTCAAGAGTATATATATTTTTAATTGTAATAAATGTTTCTAGAATGTATTCCAAAAAACAGGAATAATTTACATTTTATCAGAAGTGTGCAAGAATAAACTTTTCCTTCCCAAGTCTACACTAGCAAGAATTGTTATTGGTCTTTTGCCAGTCTAATGTTTGTAAAATCATAACTCATTGTTGGATTAGTTGTTCACACGTTCCTGACTGGTAGAGATTTTAAGCCTTTTTCTACATTCTATTGGCTATTTGGATTTGTCCTTTGTGAATTCCTATTCACAATCTCACATACTTTTCTCTTGGTAATTTTCCGTCTTGTCAATGTAAAAGAGATTAAAAATACATTACAGGCACCCATTTTCACTTTTCAGCACTGGAATTTGATTATAGTGTTTGCTATGGACTGAATGTTTTCATCCGTCCAGATTCCTAGGTTGAAACCAAATCTCTAAGGTGGTGATATTGGAAGATGAGCCCTTTGGGAAGGTATCAAGTCCCATTAAGAATGGGATTTGTTCCCTTATAAAAGAGAACCCAGAGAGCTTGTTCATCCCTTCCACCATGTGATTATACAGTGAAAACATGGCCCTCTGTGAACTAGGACGTAGGCCTTCACCAAACACCAAATCCACCAGTGCCGTGATCTTGGTCTTCCCAGCCTCCAGAACTGTAAGAAATAAATTTCTGTTGTTTATAAGGCACCCAGTCTCTGGTATTCTGTTATAGTAGCCTGAATGGACTAAGACAATGTCTTTTGCTATAAATGTTTGAACTTTTATATGGCTAGAAATGGTTTTCAGAACACTTTATTTTCTAGTTTTAGATAAAGGAATCTGCTTTACCATGAGAATATGTATGAAGTCACCTACTTTTTCTTGCAGAATTTGTTTTTCTTTTTTCCCCCTCTGTTATATCTTTACCTTGTAATTGTAAATTAGAAGTTCATTTTGTATATGTATTTTATTAATTTCTTCACAAAAACCCAACTCCTGGATTCGTTGATCTTTTGAATGGCTTTGTGTGTCTCGATTTCTTTCAGTTCAGCTCTGGTTTTTGTTATTTTTCATTTTCTGCTAGCTTTGGGGTTGATGTGCTCTTGCTTTTCAAATTCTTTCAGTTGTGAAGTTGTGAATTTGAGATCTTTCTAACTTTTTGATGTGGGCATTTAGTGCTATGAATTTCCCTTTTAACACCACCTTAGCTGTGTCCCAGAGATTCTGGTATGTTGTATCTTTGTTTCATTATTTTCAAAGGACTTTGTGATTTCTGCCTTAATTTCATTATTTACCCAAAAGTCATTCAGGAACATGCTTAATTTCCATATAATTGCATGGTTTTGAGTGATTTTTTTGTCTTGACTTCTATTTTTATTGTGTTGTGACCTGAGAGTGTTTGGTATGATTTCAGTTCTTTTGCATTTGCTGAGAATGTTTTTATGTCCAGTTATGTGGTCGATTTTAGAGTATGTGCCATGTAGATCCTTTAAATCAGATCCTTTAATTCAGAATTTGTTTGTTATCTGTGTTGATTGTTTTGTTTGTTGAAGAATGTTCTCTTGGATGAAAATATCCCATTTTGTTTATCTATTATGAACCCCAAATATCTGAGACAGGTCTCAGTTAATTTAGAAAGTTTATTTTGCCAAGGTTGATGATGTGTGCCTGTGACTTAGCTTCAGGAGGTCCTAACAACATGTGTCCAAGGTGGTCAGAGCACAGCTTGGTTTTATACATTTTAGGGAAACATGAGACATCAATCAACATATGCAAGATGAACATTGGGTCGGTCTGGAAAGACAGGACAACTGGAAGCAGGGGTGGGGCTTCCAGGTCACAGGTAGGTGAGAGACAAATGGTTGCATACTTTGAGTTTCTGATTAGCCTTTCCAACGGAGGCAATCAGATGTGCATTTATCTCAGTGAGCAGAAAGATGACTAAATAGAATGGGAAGGCAGGTTTGCCTTATGTAGTTCCCATCTTGACTTTTCCCTTTAGCTTAGTGATTTTGGGGCCCTAAGATTTATTTTCTTTTCACAATATGGATCTGTTGAGAGACATTTTAATTATCTCCAATGATTAGCAATTACAAATAAATTGGCTATGAACATTTATGTATGATGTTTTGTGTAAATATATTTTTAATTCTGTTAACTATTTAGAAGTAGAATGGTTGGGCAGTACAGTAAGTTTATGTTTAACTTTTAGGAGACTGCCAAACTGATATCCAAGTGGTTGTACTATTTTATGTTCCTACCAGCTGTGTTGTAAGAGTTCTATTTGTTCTACATCCTCACCATTGCATGCTATTTTCAGGCTTTTTAATTTTAGCTATTCTAATGGTTAATGCTATTCCAGCTCCCTTGCCTGCTTTGTGTTTCTGCCAAATACAAGTGGTAGTGGCTGACTCTCTTACTATGGCAAGCTCCAAATGAATAGGCTTTGGTTGTTCTCATTTGAGTAGTCTTCATCATTTATTTAGAATTTTCATTAATTATTACAAAGTGTTTGCATTTCTGTATAAATTTTAAAATCCATTTTTCTATTTCTATGGAAATCCTGTTTAAATTTTGATTAGAAATTCATTAAAGTTATAGATTTTCTGTCTTTTTAAAAATTTTTAAATTTTTACCTTTCTTCCATTTCTGAGGCTCCTTTTATTTGTGTTTCAAATGCAAATATTTTCCACATATATGCTTACAATTTTTATATCCCCCTTGATGAATTGACCGCTTTATAGTTATATAAGCACCTTATATCTTTTTATAGTTTTTGTCTTCAAATCTACTTTGTCTGATAAGTAGATATACTGCTTTTTTTTCGGTTTCCATTTGCTTGAATTGTCTTTTTCCATTTCTTTATTTTTAGCCCATCTGTGTCTTCATACATGAAGTAAATTTCCTGTAGGTAGCATATAGTTGGGTCTTGTGTGTGTGTGTGTTTTATTCAGACTCTTCATGTCTTTTGATTAGATAATTTATAATTTACCCCATTTCTATTCAGTGTTATTATTGATAGTCAAGGACTTGCTACTGCCATTTTATTTGTTTTCTGGTTGTTTTGTTGATCCTCTCTTTCTTTTATCCTTTCCTCCTGACTTCCTTTGTATAAAAGTAATTTTTTTCTGACAGTATGTTTTAATTTCTTGCTTTTTATTTTGTGTGTATTATATGTTTTTGTTTTGTGGTTAATGTGAAGCTTGCAAATAACATCTTATAATCAATTATTTTAAACTGATGACAACTCTGATTACAAAGAATAGAAAAAACAAGCAAATAAAGAAAAAACTAAGAAAAAAGAAACTCTAAAATTAGGACTCAACTGTCGAGGAGGGAGGCAGTTAGCGGGCTTTAGCTCCTTTTCTGGAGGGGGTAGATATGAAGCGGTTTAAAGGATTGGACCAAAAGAAGAGGAAACTCTACCAGTGCAAGAGCCAAGGGATCAGTTGTCCTTGTTTTTTTTTTTTTGGTCTTGCCTTCATTTGAAGATTAAGTATTGGAGCCATGGGAATAAAGATTCAATGTCCTCGATTTTTTTTTTTTTGACATTGCCATTAACAACCTGCTGGAAGAGTTGTCTTTGAATTATTTTCTGATGTGTGCCCCAAAACACGTGAGAAGTTTAGTTGTCTTTGTACAGGTGAAAGGGGGACAGGGAAATCAACTCAGAGCCATTACATTGTAAGAGTTGTCTCTTTCAGAGTTGTCAAGGATTTTATGGTTTAAGGTGCTGACTTCAGTGAAGGAAATGGACGAGGAGGGGAATCTATCTAAGAAGAATTTTTTGAAGATGAGAATTTTGCTGTTAAAAACAACAAAGAATTTCTCTTGTCAATGGCCAACAGAAGGAAGGATACAAATGGTTTACAGTTCTTCATAACAATGAAACCAACTCTTCATTTAGATGGGCATCATGTTGTTTTTGGGCAAGTAATCTCTAGCCAAGAAGTTGTGAGAGAGATAGAAAACCACAAGATGGATGCCGCTAGCAAAGCATTTACAGAGGTACAGATACTCAGTTGTGGAGAGCTGATTCCCAAATCTAAAGTTAAGAAAGAAGAAAAGAAAATGTATAAATCATCATCATCTTCCTCCTCATGATCTAGTGACTAAGATAGCTCAAATGATTCTCAGTTCTCACCTGATTCCTGTGATTCCGAAAATGCTTCTGAAGAGAAATCAAAGAAAAGAGGAAAAAACTTAGGAAAAATTCCCAAAAACACAAGAAGGAAAAGAAGAAGTGAAAGAAAAGCAAGAAGAGTGAATCTAGTAAGAGTGAAGCTGAAAATCTTAGAGCACAACCCCAGTCTACTGTCCATCCAGAAAAGATCCCTCCTATACCTGAAAATAGATTTCCTGATGAGAAAAAGTCCTCCTATAGCTGATGCAATGGAAAGGAAAAGCCAGAGAGAGAGAGAAAAAGAGAAAGAGAATGTAATCTATCTAACTCCCAGCCTGCTTCATACCAGAGACGACTTTTAGTTACTAGATCTGGCAGGAGAATTAAAGGAAGAGGATCAAGGTGCTATCAAACTCCTTCCAGATCCAGATCAAGGGATTGTTTCAGACTTAGTGAGACTCCTGCACATTGGAGGCAAGAGATGCCGAGAGCTCAAAGGATGAGGGTATCAAGTGGTGAAAGATGGATCAAAGGGGATAAGAGTGAGTTGAATGAAATAAAAGAAAATCAGAGAAGTCTAGTTAGAGTAAAAGAGAGAAAAATAACTAACCACAGGAATGTATCTGAGAGTCCAAACAGAAAAAATGAAAAGGAAAAGAAAGTTAAAGACTGTAAATCTAACAGCAAAGAGAGACATCTGAAGAAATTCAAAAAAAGATGATAAATACAATACGAACAAAGTGAAGAAAAGGGCCAAATCTAAAATTAAGAGTAAGAGCAAAAAGAAATCAAAGAGTAAAGAAGGAGATTCAAGACATAATAGACATGAAGAAAAGAGGATGAGGTCAAGGAGCAAAGGAAGGGATCATGAGAATGTTAAAGAAAAAGAAAAGGAGCTTGATTCAAAAGGAAACGATCAGGAAAGGGGTAGAAGTAAAGAGAAGTCTAAACAGTTAGAATCAAAGAGTAATGAGCATGATCATAGTAAAACTAAGGAAAAGGATAGATGTGCACAATCCAGGAGTAGAGAATGTGATATAACTGAAGGTAAACACAGTTATAATAGCAGAACAGAACAGCAAAGCAGAAGTAGGGACAGAAGCAGAAGAGTGTGATCAAGAAGCCATGACAGAGATTGCAGCAGAAGCAAGGAGCACCATAGATACAGAGGAAAGGAATACAGGAGGAGAGGACAGTCACAAAGCCGAGGGAGAAGAACACCACCAGGAAGATCAAGAAGTAGAGATAGGGGTAGAAGGAGGAGAGACTCACGGAGCTCAGAGACAGAAGAAAGTAAAAACAGAAACAAAGAAAAACACAGAAACCAAGAAAGTAAGAGTTCACACAGAAAGAAAATTCTGAGAGTGAGAAAAGAATGTACTGTAAAAGTCATGATCATAATAGCTCAAATAATAGCAGGGGAAAAAAAGGCTGATATAGATAAAAGTCTCTTCTCAAAAATAAAACAAAGCAGTCAGAACAATGAATTAAAGTCCTCCACATTGAAAAATAAGGAGGATGAGAAGATCAGATCCTCAGTGGAAAAAGAAAACCAAGAATCAAAGGGTCAAGAAAGTGACCATGTACGTGAAAGAAAAAAAATTTGATTATGAATCAAGCCCTGAAACATATGAAGACAAAAGTGGATGAGTGAGTTATATAAACTTATTTCCGTTCTGTTTTGAATTTTAAGTTTGAGAGACTTGCTAGTGAATCTTCTTTATGTTGTTTTCCTTTTCATTGTTTTTGGGTTGTTTTATGCTTGCCCCTTTTTTTAAAATGTGGATTTCATTGAGTTGATCTTTTGATAATCTGCAATCTGGATAACTCGTGCTGCTAAAGTTTTAATAAACTTGAAATGCGAAAAACAAAAAAAAACAAAACAAAAAACTCTACAATTTAACTCCATCCCTCTCAATTTTTGAATTGTTGTTGTCTCTATTTATATCTATCATATGATCTAGCAATCCCACTGCTGCATATATACCCAAAAGAAAGAAAACTGGGATATCAAAGAGATACATGCACACCCATGTTTATTGCAGTACTATTCACAATAGCCAAGATATGGAATCAACCTGTGTGTCCATTAACAGATGAATGGATAAAGAAAATGTGGTACATACCCACAATGGAATATTATTGAGCCATAAAAAATGAAATCCTGTCATTTGCAGCAACATGGATAGATCTGGAGAACCTTATGTTAAGTGAAATAAGAAAGGTGCAGAAAGACAACTTTGTGTGTTCTCACTCAAATGTGGGAGCTAAAAAAGAAATTCAACTCATGGAGATAGAGAGAAGAATTATGGTTACCAAAGGCTAGAAAGGTAATAGGGAGAGGTGGGTAAAGAGGGAATGGCTAAAGTGTACAAAAATAGACTCAAATAGAATAAGATCTAGTTTTAGGTAGCACAATAGATCTTATTGTTAAAAATATTTTACTGTACACTTCAAAATAACTAAAAGAGTGGGACTGAAATGTTATTAACACTAAGAAATGATAAATCCTTGAAGTGATGAATATCCTGATCATCCTGATTTTATCATTTCATATTATATGCTTGTATCAAAATATCACATGTACTCTATAAATATGTACAACTACTATGCATCCACAATAATTAAAAAACACATCTTCTAGAGCTCTTTTGATTTGTATGTTAAATCTCTCATAGTCCTCCTCCAATTCATTTTCATCTTTTTTGTCTTGTGATGTTTATCTTTTTATGTATTTCTTCACACTCTAAATTTTTTTAGGCCACTAAATCATGTCTCAGCAGTGATCTTGAACATCTTCTCCCCTAATTCATCTCCTAAATAGTTTAGTTGGAAACTATTTCTTTTATTTCTGGAAAGTACTCCTGAGGAATGGGAGTAGAAGCTAAAGGGGGTATACACAGATATCCCTAAGCTCTTATTTTTTTTTCTTTTCAAATTGTCATCTGTCTCTTCTAGCATCTATCAAAGGTTGGTTCTGTGTTTTGTTTGTTTTGATTGATCTTTCTGTCTCTGGCTGCTATGCTGCTCTGAGGTATTGTTAACCTGGAGTACATCTCCCTGCTTTCCTGTCTCTTGTACTCACTCAGCCTGAAGGGTGGGAATGCTTCACTCACCTGTTAACATTTTTTCGAGGAGCCTGAGATATCTGATAGACACTAGGGCCTCTGTTTATCTGTCCCCTGGGTCCACAGATCTCTGTAAGCCAAACATTCCCAAGATCCACATTTTAGTTGAAATCCTTCTCCCAAGGCTCTCTCTCTCTTTTTTTCTTAAGAGAAGTAAATCTTTATTTCCTTGTTCTGACAGTAGTCTTAACATGTCTTTCTAGTACATAACAAAGAAAGCCTTCCCTTTTATTCTCCCAAAGAAGCAGTTACACTCTGGGGCTTATATATAATTTTAACAAAGGCTGATAAATTGTATGCACCCTGGGTCTCTTACCAATTTGCACTCAGCCACCAGAGCCCCAGGCTTTGATATCAATGAAATAAAATGATTTGAATTGAGGAGAGTAAAGGAATTGCATTCAAGCCACCATTTTCTTGGAATTTTTTTTAAGTGCTACAGAGAAACAGAGTCAGTTTTAGATTAGAATGTAACTCAGAGATCATCTAGTCCAGTGCCTACTCTGATAAGCCTATTTCCTGTAAAACATCTTCAACAAGTAGTGGTCCAGCTCTGCTTGAAGATCTCCAGGGATTCTGAGCTTGAATATTCTTTCTCAAACCAACTCCAAATCTCTCTTTAGGTTCAGATTATCTTATCTTCCCATCTCTTAGGACCCTAGAGAAGTTATCTTCATATCTTACCCAGAGTTGGATAGCCTATTTTTCTTCCTTTTTTGGACATTTTCCTGCTCATTAAAATTGCTATAGTTTCTAGAGAAGATAAAGAACATTTGTAAACTAATCAGCTTACTAACTCCCTGGACTCTTTGATAAGTTTTGACAAAGGAGGAGATTGAAGTAATTTAGCAAAACAAAGATTTTAGATTCATCTTTTCTCCTTAGATTACATTGACTCACTCTATTGTTTTCCTGTCTCTTCACTGAAAATACTATTTTTTTTCCAACATGAAATGAACTTTGTAGTTTATTTATGATTATGAACATGATTCAAGCTTATTGGGAAAAATGAACAATAAAAAAGTATAAGTAAGAAACAAACAAAAACCCCCAAACTCAAAATCTCAACATTGTGAAATGGCCCTTTTCCCAAATATTTCTCAGTGTGTTTGTAATTTCACATAAGTATTACATGTTACACGTGTTATTTTGTAATCTCCCCTTCCATTTAACAAAATGCCATGAGTTTAGAGCCATACAGTTTTTAGTGGCTACTTAAAATTCCTTCGTATGAATGAACTATGATTTATTTACTCAATAATTTAATTCATGGTGGCCATGCTTAGTTGTTTTTAGGTTGTTCTTTCCTTCTATGTGAACACAACAGTGCTTCCCCAACCTTTTCTGTACACGTCTGATTATCTCCTTAAATTACTAACATTGAGAGTCAACAGGTCAGAGAGCATACCCATTTGAAATGTTCATGCATATTGCCAAACTTTCCTTTAGAAAGGTAGTACATGTCCACCAAAAGTGCCAGCACTGGGCATTGTCTGTCTGTTTCAACCTGGTCAATCAGATGACTGAAAAATTATCTGTATTTTCTTTAGTCTTAAATTATTTTTTTCTAATTATTATAGTTTTTGAATGCTAGATGAAGTTTAGAAGAGCTTTATTTTCTGGAGAAATTTTTTATAGGAGTCAGTACAATATAATATTGTCTTAGGGGTTATTTTGTTTTATTTATATAAGTCTTATAACCTTCTTTAAACTTGTATTTCTGGATATTTTATATATGCTGTAGTTGTTATTGTGAATAGACACTTTTCCCACTGTATGTAATGTTCCTTTGGTGAGACAAAACGTATCTTTCTTATAATTCTAGAAAGTAATATGTGCATTGGTAGAAATTATGGAAAATATGTTAAAAGCATGATGAAGAAGAAAACCACTTAGAGAAAAAAATCATTGTCATTATTTTGGTATCTTTTATTCTGGTCTTTTTTTTTCCTTTCTTATATATCTACACATAATGTTATTTTCTTTTAAATTTTGCATTATAGCATAAAAATTTTTCTCTCAATTTCATAAGTTTTTGCAGACATATGTAATTTCTATAATACTTATTAAATAAATGTTAGTCATGGCATAAATTTTATATTCTCCCAGTGTTCAATAGATAATCTTATTTCTTGACATTAAAGACCATGTTGTGTATTTCTTTTTTTATTGATCCTAATGCACCTAATGCCAACATAGATACATAATAAGAGCCATAAATTGTAGCTTACAGTGAAAAAGAGATTTTTGACTCTGCCCTCTGTTTCAGCAATAATAGGCTATGTTGTCTCTAACAAGTTATCTCTCCTCTCTGGGCCTTAATTTTCTTATTTGTAAAATAGCAAGTTGGATAATTTCGTCTTCTTTTCCTCTTTTTCACTGTCAGCATCAGTGTTCATATTTATTATTTAAAACAAGCAGTCATTGTGTTAAGTGCATTACTTGCATAATCTTAGTTATTATCAACTGTAAGCTGTACAGATGAGGAGAGTGATGCCTAGGAAGTCTACAGTCACACAGCTAATGTATGTTAGGCATGAAACATGAATTTCTCTCTCTTCTAAGGTCATACTCCTAACTACTATAGACTGTTATAATTGCCAAGGTCCCTTCTGATGTTAATGGTTTGAAAGTTATGGCCCTAAATTAGATTTTGGTTATCACTTTTAAACTTTAGCCTGTTTATGTAGTTGACAGAAATGGACCAGAAGTAAATAACAATGTCTAAACTCTAATCTTGGTTTACTATTGCTATTGCCAAGCAATACTTATTTTATTGTCAGAGTTTACTCTGTGGATAGCAGCAATCATTTGGAAGGGCTACTGGATTATTTCAGAGAATCCATGAGGTAGAATAAATTGCTTCATGAGGTCCCTATGGCTATAGTTTCAAACATAAGGTGTAAGGAAGGAAAAACTATTTCTGTACACATTTAGGTTTTTATAACCGGGGTCAGATAATTAAACTCATAAAAGAACAATTAGCAAGAAAAAAACACATGTATTTTATTGATGCTAATATTTTTAATTTTAGGTGCATGAGGGCTTCACAGAAAAGAAGTGAAAAATCCAAAGAGGCAGTTGTACTCTGGGGTTTATATACAATTTTAACAAAGGGTGATAAGTTGTGGAGAAGAGCCTAGAAAAAGGAAAGGAGTTTGGACTTCTAGGGTCAATAGAACATATATGGAGGAAACTAATGGTAGATAAGAGTTCTTTAGCAACATTTCTTTATATAGACTCATTTTGGCACTCCTCTTTCTGATATGGGAAAGAAGGGACACCTGTTTAACAAGGAAAATTTATGCCCTGCTTTTAGGCAGATGGGGAAGGATAGAGAACTCTTCCTATGTCTGATTTGTCTCAGTTGCTTCCAGCTCAAAATCATTATTATGTCAAAGTGGCATATTATGGGGTGAGATATACTAACCCCCTTTTAAGGGAACATGGAATCCTAGTATCTAAATGTATCAAAAAACTAATGTTTATTCCATCCAACTTTCTACCTGATCTTTGAATTCTTCCCACAACTAATCACCTCTCTACCTCTTTTCTTTGTTTTCTGTATGTTTTTGGAAATTTCCTCTGTGTGTTTTCCTGTGTGTGTTTTTACCTCTGTGTGTTTGTTCTCTTTTACTTTCCTCATTGTCTTCTCCCTTCTTTTCTCTTTAATGTATATCAAATGCACTAAAAACATCTTTTGACCTCTTGGTTGTCTTCTAAGCCCTTGGAGAAAATGGTTGATATCACTTATCTTTCTATTGTTTTTCTGTCAGACAGCTCTGCCTGGGAGGCCAGCTACATTTTACAATATTAATGATGTGCTGTAAGAACCTAACATAACATTTTATAACCCTATAACAAATCTTATTATCAGATGACAATGAGGTACAGTATATTAAATATTCATCATCCTTGCTTTACTTAAAAACTTTAAAGGGGATAAGGCACAGAGGCTGCTTCAGACTAATTACTGTTCTAATTATATAGCTTGGTTTTCAATGTTTAATGGGGACCTCATAAAACCATGATTGAAAACAATGCGGTATATCAGTCAGATGCCCTGCTGACATGCACCATGAAAAAATACCCTGTTATTTTAGAGACAGTGCTGTTATATTTCTGCAGTAGTGGCAGCCCTGTCTCAGAAGGTACACGATTGTTCTCCCAGTAGTCAGCTAGCACCCCTCATATTACTCAGATTGAAGGTTTTACTTCTGTTCACTGGCAGCCTAGATAGTAAAGGGCAGAGCTTCTGCCTTCAGCATCTATGAACTCCTTTCACCAGCATACCTAAGTTCTTATATGACTTGATATTGCTGAGTAGGACATTCCCCTGGAGGCTCTGTTGTGGGAGAAGAGAAAGAAAAGGCAATACCATAATCATCACTGTCCAACATTACCAGTTATTGATTGTAGAGATCAGGTATGGCATAGGAGAAACATAAGAGCCTTGGTTCAATCTCAGTTCTAATTTTTAATTACATTGTTCCCTCAAGGATGTTATCTGATTACCCTCTGGGGTAAGATGGACAAACATAAACATCTTGTCATAAAGTAGGAGTCTAGCCAATCCTCTGATCACACTCACCTACAATTCTCAAAGTCTCTAACCACTGAGAGAGAGAGGGAAGAAGAAGTAGGAAAGCTCTTTTGAGGAATTACAGCCAGGGACTGAATCTTCTGTGTTTTCCCAGAATTTCAAATCTTGAGCTGGTTTTAAGGTGTTTGTAGACTCAGAGTGTTCCCTGTGTATAGGGCAGAACAGAACAATTCTTTAAATACTAAAATTGTTTAGTATTTAACTGAAGATTCAAGCATATGAGAAAATTAGCCTCCTTAAATAAAATCAGCAGAGAAAGCATACAAAATTCCACAAGGACTTCAGATATTGACATTAGCAGAGACAGATCTGGAAACAAAATTGATAATTATGTTTAAAGAAATGTAAAGCAAAACAAAGTTATTTGCAAGAAATAAGATATTGCAGGAAGTGATTTAGTAGATTTGAAAATGAACCAAATGAAATATATGGACACAATTCATTTTTGGATTAACAAAAAGTTTTCTGAAATGAAATGACTGAACTTGAAAACCTCATGAGGTTAATAGCAGACTTGATATGGTTAATAATATAATTGATTAACTGAAAGATTGGACAGAGAAAATTATCTATAGTGTAACACAGTAAAAAGAGATAGAAAACACAGAAGAAAAGGTAAGAGACATAGATACAATGAGAAAGCTTAACCTACATTTAATTGAAATTCAAAAACAAAGTGGAGCAACAGAAAATAAGAGTGGGGAAAAATATTATAAAGAATAATGGGGCCCAGGTGTGGTGGCTCACACCTGTAATCCTGGCACTTTGGGAGGCTGAGGCGGGTGGATCACTTGAGTTCAGGAGTTCGAAATCAGCCTAGCCAACAGGGTGAAACCCCATCTCTACTAAAAATATAAAAATTAGCCTGGCATGGTGGTGCACACCTGTAATCCCAGTTACGTGGGTGGCCGAGGCATGAGAATCCCTTGATCCCAGGAGGCTGAGGTTGCAGTGAGCTGAGATCACGCCACTGTACTCCAGCCTGGGTGATGGAGTGAGATTCTATCTCAATAACAACAAAAAAAGAATGGGTGGTCTTAAAATTGGTTCATATTCTTTGGTACTCCTCTTTTTACTGGATGGAGCCTAATTTACCTCTTTTTTGAGTATAGACAAGATTTAGTGATTTTCTTCTAATGAATAGAATGTGATATCAATGATACTGTGTCCAAAGCTACATCTTTAAAAGAGTAGCTTTTGCCTACTCTCTCTCTATCCTGGAATACTTGCTCTGTGGGAAGCCAGTCATCATCTCATGAGGCCACCATGCTGGGTGGAGAGGCTCATCTGAAGAGAAATGGAGGCTTTCCACCAACAGCCAGTACCACCTTGCCAGCCATGTGAATTACTCACTGTGGATCCTCCAATGCCAGGCAATCCTTCAGTATTAACTGAATACAGCCTCAGCTGATGTGTGAAAGCAGCCTATGAGAGCTCCTGAGCAAGAGCTGCTCAGCCAGGTCACTCCCAAATTTCCTTTCCACAGAAACTGTGAGATATAATAAATGTTTATTGTCTTAGCAGCTAATTGGTGAATTTTATATGCACTAATAGATAGCTAACAGAGAGAATGATTCAGAATTTTTAAGCACTGATATTAGGTATTAGTCAACAAATTCAAGATACCCAAAACAGTTCAAGAAGGATAAATAGAAAGAGGCATACTGTAGTGAAAATGGAGAAAATGAAAGAGAGAAATCCTTGAAGAAACCAGAGAAAATAAATGGCTTTCAAAGTGAGTGGCTGCTAAACTAGGGGTGAGCAAGCTTTCTTTAAAAAGGGCCAAGAAGTAGTTGCTTTGTGCTCTGAAGGCCATGTGGTCTTTGTTACAAATACTCAACTCTCCCGTGATAATGTGAGGACAGCCATAGCCAATGTGGAAATGAATGGGCATGGTTGCTGTACAGTAAAACTTCACTCAGGTAGGCTGTAGGCTGGATTTGGCCAGGGCATGTAATTTGCTGACCCCTGTCTAGAATGAAAGCCAATGTCTCAACAATAAAACAGAAGCTAGAAGCCAGAGGATCTTCCATGTGATAAAGGAAAGTAATTGTTAATCCAGTATTTTATGTTAAAATATCTCTTAAGAATAAAGGCAACATTAAACACTTTTTTTTCACACAATCAAAAGTGGAGGTAGTTTGCTACCATCAGGTCCTCACTAAAGGAAACTTCAAGTAGAAGGAAAGTGGTCGCTGGTGGAAAGTCTGAGATGCAAGAAAAAAATAAAGAAGAGATATTAAAATGAAATTAATAAAATAGTTATTGCATAAGAAATGCATATAAGCTAAGATGCTAGTAAATAAGTTACTTGAATTGTCTGTAAGGAAGAATAATGTCTGATATTATATTTTAAAGTTGAGGATTCATATTGTAATTTCTAATGTGTCCATTTCAAAAGGAAGCCACGGATATAATCTTCAAAACTGGTAGAGGTTCAGAGCAATGAAATAATAACAGTTACTCTAAAAGAAGACAAAAATGGAGAGAAAGAAGAACCTAGAACAGAAATAGAAGGCACAAAATGAGACAGTTGATATCAAACCTAAATATACCATTAACTACCTATGTGTAAGTGGACAAAAACTCCAGTTATTAGAAACCAATTATCAGGATTTTTTTTTGAAAAAACATACTTTATAATGTTTATATGAGAGAGATCTAAAACATTAGAATATAGAAAAAAGGGGATGAAGATGGATATACTATGCTACTATTAATCAAAAGAAAACTGATGTAGCCATATTAATATCAGACAAAGTAGAATCTAAGACATAAAAGCATTATTAGAGATAAAGTAACTTCATAATGGCAAAAGATCTCATTCAACAGAAAGATATATTTGTAGGCTGGGTGCAGTGGCTCACATTTACAATCCCAGTGCTTTGGGAGGCCGAGGTTGGAGGGTTGCTTGAGGCCAGGCTTTCCAGAGTAGCCTGGGCAACATAGCAAGACTTGTCTCCTAAATTTTATTTTTTTATAAATGAGCTAGGCATGGTAATATACATCTGTAGTCCTAGCTACTTGGGAGCCTGAGGTGGGAGGACTGCTTAAGCCCAGGAGTTTGAGGATGCAGTGAGTTTCCATTAGGCCACTGAACCCCAGCCTGGATGACAGAATGAAGCCCTGTCTCTAAGAAGAAAGATATATTTGTGTGCTTCTAATAATATGCCTCAAAAAAATGAAAACAAAAACTGACAGACTCCAAGGAGAAATATACAAATCTGCAATGTAAAAATTTTTAACAAACATCTCTTCATAATTCATGGAACAAATGGACCAAAAAATCCAGAAAAATGGAGTTCAGTTGAAGAATGCAATAAACAGCAAATCCAAAGAAAGTAGAAGGAAGAAAATGGAAGTTAATAAAATTGAAAACACAGAGATAATAGTGAGAATCCATAAAGTTAAAATTTGCTTTTCTGAAAAAAAAAAAGCCCAATATAATTGATTAACCTCTGGTAAAACTGATCAAGAAAAAAGAGAGAAGACACAAATAGCTTATGTCGGGAATAAAAAACGAACATCATTACAGAGCCTTCACATACTTTTTTAAAACAACCAGAAGATATTACAATTTTATGCCCAAAATTTTGAAAATTTAGAGTAAATGAAGAAATTCCCAGGCAAATACAAATTAATACAATTGACACAAGATAGATAAAACATGAAAATCCTATAAGTAAATAAATTAAATGTGTTTTTCAAAATATCCCCTCAATGAAATCTTGAAACACTGATAACATTACTTGTGAGTGCTATGTAATGTTCAACAAGAAATAATTCTAGTCTTATTCCAACTCCTCCAGGGAATTGAAAAAGAGAATAGACTCCCCATCTCATTTTATGAGGTAGCACATGACAGTATAAGAAAGAGAGCAATCTTGATTATAACAATAAAGACAAAAATCCCATGCAAAATATCAGCAAACTGGATCAAGCATCACATAAAAAAGATGAAAACCATTATATATTATATAGCAATTACTTGCTGATTTAAGGAACTTCAGGTTGTATTTAGGTTGTAACATTAGAGAATTAATCATGCAATCACTTCAGTAGATGCAGAAAAATGTTTAATAAAATTTAATACCTATTTATAATAAAAACTCTTACCAAATAAGAAATTGGCAGGGTCCTAATTTGATAAAAAGTATTTACAAATGACTTACAGCAAATATTATGTGCAAGGAGAAATACTGAAACTATTCCTTTAATATTGGCTGTATGATGAGGATGTCCATTATAAACACATATTCTTTACAGAAATGAAGATAAAATTGGGGGTAAGGAAAGGAAAGGAATAAATAAAAACTTCATTATTTTTAGATGATACGGAAAATTTAAAAGAATCTGTAGCGAATTATTAGAAATGTTAAACAAACTTAGCAAGTCTTCAGGAAATGACACCAATGTACTGTAACACTCCACTACAGTGTTATATGTGGGGTCCAAAAATTCAATCAGTAAAATGAGAGGGTTCATTTCTGGTGAGGTTAGTGTAAAGTAAAATATTTCAGGCCATCTGTGCTGACACACAGAGTACAAAAGTAAAGATGAAACTTATGCTGTACCCAGTTATCCATACAAGGACCCAAGAAAGTCACACTTGATTACAGAGCGAAAAACAGTCACTTTCTAACTGTGTTCCTCCAGCCTTTAGAGGAGAAGAACCTTAGCCAATATACCTATGGGAGAATGGAGGCCAGAGAGAGGACTCAAACACCAATGGCTTTATATCCAAATTTGCGTTATTACAGAGCATGGTATCACGGAGTTTTACTGTAAAACTCCAGTTGTATCTCCATAAACCAGAAACAAATAGAAAGTGAAATTCAAGAAAACACATCGTTAGAGGAGCAAATATATCAAGTATCTAGAAATAATCTAATGAAAGAGAAAGAGGTTCTTTAAAACCTCTTTGGGGAGGACTACATTGTTGGGGTTAAGGGCAAGATTTCAAATAATGAACTTAAAGCAAGCCAGCTAATTAAGAGGATTGGATGTGCAGGACCACACAGAGACAGCTGTAATTGTTGTGCTTGTACAGTCTGCCAAACTGCTAGTACCCAGTGTGTGACCAGCCTGGAGGACAGATGTGAGCTGAAAGGCCACATTTGGCCAATGAAGTCTAGCCAGAAGGAAAGGTCTGGATGTCAGCCAGGCTTTGACACCTACAGATGCTTAATCAGATGGCACCCACACAGAAAGGACCCAGAAATGCCAGCCTTAGCCATGCCTGACTCCAGATCTTCAGAGACTCGAGTCAAGGAGAAAGGCAGGTTACAACTCTCTGTCATATCCTTTCTTCTGGAAAGAGTTTTTGAGGCATTATCCTGAGGCCAAATTTGTGAGAGTAAGATAACTGATAGTCACTCTCACGTATACTGATTGCATTAGTTTGTTCTTACCCTGCTTTGAAGAAATACCTGAGACTGGGTAATTTATAAAGGAAAGAGTTTTAGCTGACTCACAGTTCCACGTTGCTGGGGAGGCGTCAGGAAACTTACAATCATGGCAGAAGGCAAAGGAGAAGCAGGCACCTTCTTTCCAGGGTGGTAGGATGGAGTGAGTGCAAGCAGGGGAAATGCCAGCTGCTTGTAAAACCATCAGATCTCGTGAGACTCCTTCATATCACGAGAACAGCATGGGGGAAACCGCCCCCATGATCCAATTACCTCCACCTGGTCCTGCCCTTGACCTGTGGGGATTATGGAGATTACAATCCGAGGTGAGATTTGGGTGGGGACACAGAGCCAAACCATATTACAGATGCTGGATGAAGAGAAAGCTCAAAGGCCAGAGATCCACTGACCTGATTCTACTTATTTTGGAGTAAGTAGGCTCACGTGGGGCCAGAGGCAGGTGCTTAGAGTGTGAGTCTCCCACCATAGGGCAGGTCAGATTATGCCACCACCAGTATTCTGAGGAGTTAATGTGGCATTTGGTAGGAAATAATGTTTCTCACCCTTCCAGACTAAGGAATCATTTAAAACTATGAAACCCAAGAGCTTTGGGGAGAAAATTTTGGAGCTAAGCCAAATAAAAATAAACCAAAGAAAAGCAAGAAAATCATTGATAGTATTGGTAAATTCAAGACTCTTGGACTTGTGAAAACTCCTTGTCATATTGAATTATATTAGGGGTAAGCCTCTATAAATCAGACACACAAACAAGCAAGCAAGCAAGCAAATAAACAACTATCTTTTCTCCATTTACAAAATTTCAAGCTGGCACTTTGGCTAGCAGAGCAAGTTAGCACTCTCCACAAAAGGGAATGGGCTGTTTTGGAAAGCATTTGGTGCAACACACTGGGTAGATTCATGTTGAAATGAGATGGCTAGTTTCCTAGGATGTTGAATAAGGGATTCACACCCTAGAGTTGAACTATCTAATGTACATGCTTCTTCCCAATGCTATGGTTATGGTCCCTTGTTTTATAGATGAGGAAACTGAGGCAAACACAGGAAAAGAGACTTAGCTAAGGTCATCCAGGGAATGAGTGCCAGACCAGAGCTATCTTCATCTAATATCACATCACACACACACATTTTACTGACAAAGTACCTTCAGAAATAACCCCAAATCTTACCCTGGGAACCCTGAAAGGAAAAGGTCTAGACTTCACTCATTAAAATTATCAAGAAAGGTGAAACCAAACAATAGAATCCAAACCCACTTAAGATAATAGGAAACTCTGTCTTAAATAATGGCATAATTTGAAGATTTGGCCACCTATTGAAATAGTTCTAAAAATTTTGATTCGTTCCATTGAACATTTCCAGAATACTTTGAATTAAATATTAAAAACAAAAACAAATTTCAATTCCTAATGCCTGAGCTGTTTTAATCTCATAACTCTGTTTCAACTACTCTTGGCAATGAATCACTGAACAGGGCATTGTAAGGGCATTTCTAATATCCTTTAATTAAAACTCACAAGGGTTTGTATGATGTAATTCCAAGGAAACTAACTATTCCCAGGTATTCCTTTGCCAAGAAGCCTTGCTTCGGAGATGTGCAGTCCTGTCCCTGAACATTACCTGCCACCCTATCTGAAATGATATCTATCTGTCTTCTACCACCACGGAACTCGTGTCTTAGCCTGAGCTCCCCTAAAGCAAAGCCTGAGACACAGGCTTCCTTGGGAGTAGTTTATTTGGAGGTATGTTCCAGTTATCAGACATGAGGGTGACTGGGTGCTACGGACTGAATGTTGAGTCTCCCTAAAATTCATATGTTGAAGCCTCATTCCCTGTGTGATGGTATTAGGATATAAGGCCCTTGGGAAGCAATTAGATCATAAGAGTGGGTCATAAGGTCATCTTCCTCAGTGGGATTAGTGCCCTTATAAGCAGAGACATGAGAGTGCTTGCTCTCTCTCTCTCTTCCCTATGAAGATATGGACAAAAGGTCAGCATCTGCAAAAAAAGGAGATGGAACCTCACCAGACACTGGATCTGATGACATGTTATCTTGGACTTCCTAGCCTCCAGAACTGTGAGAAATAAGTTTTTGTTGTTTAAGCCATCCAATTTCTGACATTTTTGTTATAGCAGCCAGAGCTAAGTCACTGGGGAAGGAGAAAGAGAAAATGAGGCTATGTTATGAAATTGGCCATCACTACAGGTGACTGTTGCTGTTTTATGGGATATTTTGAGAAGCCATGTAAAATTGTCTTAGAAGTGTGCATTTGGAGGGAATAAAGAAGAGTCACTTTTGCCCATCAGCATCTGTCCTTTTCAGCCAAGGGTGGTCCTGAGGAGTATTAACTTCTCTGTACTCCTGGGCTGTGCATGTATGAATGCCAAGCCCCAAAGCAGAACCTGCCCAAAGCTGGGTGGAGCCTGCATAGAACTGGCTGTTGCCAAGAGAATTTGTGATGCTGCACATCAGGCATGCAAAGGCTTTCCTTCAGTGCTTAGATTAAGCACTACCCATATGCACCTCCCCATGCCTGCATCATTCCACCATCCACCTTCTTAACACAAACCACTCACTTGGGCCCCTGCTTCTTTACTATGTGCAATATTATTTCATAGATTTGTAGCCTGGTACTAGTGTGGTCATGTGTACCTGGGATCTTGGGCCTTCTCTGTGCCCCACTTTCTCTACCTGTACAATGGTTGGGGTTGAATTAGCCCAGGGCTACAAAATCAGGTGTCAATAGGAATTAGACAGGTGAATAATGACTAAAGCAGCCTACGTTTGTTTCACAACAGCGTCTGCCTTAAGTTTTATTTTATTTTTTGACAAAGACATACTTGGTTTGGATGATAAATGCACAGAAATTGCCCACACTTCAGAAAATACATTTTCCCTCTCTCATCTTCCTTGGAAAACCAAGCTCTCCTGGTCTATCTTATATTTTCCTACTTTTGATAGCAGCATGTTTACAGAAACCACTGCAGCACGGTCTCAATAGTAAATGACAGCTTTCCCTTGGCTTCGACATTGAGGAGACTTCAGAGGTCACAGGACCATGAAAACCCTTGAAGAGGGCAGCTGATACTCAGATTGTTGCCACTGGACCCAGGGTTATCAAAACCTTCAGATTTTTTTTTTTTTGAGAAGCCAGAAATCTTGATTACCATCCATGATTTCCTAATATTGAAAGGTTGATATCTCCTTTAAATTAATCTTAAAGACTAAGCATGCCAAAGAAAACTCTTCTTTGGATTTGTTTTGATTTCCAAGCCACTAGTTTGTGAACTTAGAATAAAGAATTCCTAAAAGCCTTTCCAGAATTAATACGCTATGGTTCATACTTTTGACTGCTAAGAACCTCTTTTGCTACCCACTTGCTTCCTGGTCTGCATTTAGGCAGTCTCAGAAATCGTCCAGAACTGCATCCCTATTATCACCCTTAGCCCATTATTCTGGGTGGGCTCTATCCCTAGATTGTAAGCAGGCTCTCTGCCAGATCTGTTACAAAGTCTTACATTCTAAGAATCTCTGAGATTCAAAAAGAATTGGCCATGAAATGAGACATCATTCACCTACGTAAAGAGGCAAAAGAAAGGGCATCAGAAATGATGGAAAACCTAAGTCATGTGCTAACCATAAGGTGTATTACTGAAATGCCAGAATAAATTGTACATTCTGGTGGGGAGCCATGAGCCACCAGAGGGACAGACTCTAAGCTACTGCTCCAAACACAGTCTTTTAGCCCTTGCCATCCGGGTCACTTATGTCTCCAGCAATTTATCTGATGGGTCATTGTACTTTGTACCTTGGGAGGATTATAACATGCTGAAGCTGTGAACACCTATCGTTTGTAAGTAAGTATTTGGAGGGGCTCACTAGACAATTTCCCTTTTATATTTATTTTATCACATATAGAATACCTGATAAAATTTTTATTTCAGATGAAACAGTGATGAAAGAAAAAATACCATTTCCCCTTTTTTATTTTTATAGAGAAACATCTTAATGGTTATAAAACAAGGACACATTGCTTCTTTGCCTCTGCTGTTGGAGGATGGGCTGTGAGGGTTTTCCATCGTAGATACATTACTTGTAACAACAGTAATAATTATAAAGCAGCTAACAGTTTGGAAATATGATCATGTTCCTGGCACCAAGCTAAGTACTTAATATGCATCATTTCATTTTTATCTTCAGAATATCCTGAGATAAGCAACATTATTGTTCCCACTTTATAGGTCAGGAAACAGAAGCTTAGAGAAGTGGTGACTTTCCTAGATATTATAGCAACTTAGTGGTAGAACCAGAACTATGCTACACTACCCATCTCTCCGTGTCCACAGATAAAAGAAGTAGGTCGGGATTTACTCAAGGTACAGAATACATGGAACATATAGCAGCTCCATAAGTTCACCCATTCATGACATTTGTTGCTTTGTGACAGAGCCATATAATTAATATGTTCCCTGGGCATGTCTTCCTGCAAGATCTTTTCCATAGAAGCCTTGTATGATTGAATAGTTACTGGACTAGCTAACTGGGGCATGTTGGATCAGTCACACCTAGAAATAAGACACTGAAGGACTGGCTTCAAGGCACTGTCTTGTTCAGAGTCTCAAAAATGGTTTGATTTAGTAATCATGAGAATCTGTTTCTCCCGTCCTTTCCCAAGTGCTCATAAGCAATATTGTATAAAGAAGAACTAAAAAAAATACAATTTAGCCAAAGACAACTGCCCAGCAAAATGGGAGGACTTCATAGCACTAAGTATATAAATGTATCTACCTATTCCTTTGTTCATTCATCCATGCCACCCATAGCTATTTTCCAGTTTTCAGCTATGTGTACCTGTAATGTACCCAGCCTGTGCCTTATTTCTCTTACTTTTGATGGCTGTATCATCAAAAAGTATACCATCCTTTCTTTTTCCTTGCCTCCTACAGCCTGACGCTAGGCTGGACATGTGTCTTCAGTGGGAGCTGAGCTCTAGGTATGACCATCAACTATCCAGAGAGACTGTCAACTATACAGAGAGTCTGTCCTTGTCAATCCATCTCCAGGTTTATCTCTAGGTATCCTACTGAGCTTGGGGTCCCTTGGAGGCAGTGTAGTATAGAAGTTATATGAATGAGTTTTATTATCAGCCAGCCTGGGTTCAAATTCTGCTGTTTCTAACTTCATGATCTTAAATCTGATCCTTAACTTCTCTGAGTCTCACTGTTTCCATCTGAAAAAAGAGGAATAAAATTTGATAGAATTCTTGGGAGAATTAGATGAAGTTATTAATATAAAACCTCTAGCATAGAACCTGGTCCATATTATGTGTAGAAGAAAAACATTTGTTTCGATTTTTGCTGTTTTTTTTTCAATTGCTATCCACATACTCAGATTAAATTTTGAATCAAATATTATATTGACTGTATGCAGCTTACTTTGCTGATTTTGCTTTCAAGGCATTTGCATATACTTTCTGTCATTCTGTCCCCTCAAGAACTCTTTTACAAAAACTGGCTAGATAATTAATCCTCATTTTATGCATGAAGAAATACCCAAGCAAAGATGACCAGTGCCTCCGCAGAAACAGCCTAGTGCTTTTTTTTTTTTAATTTTTTAAAATACTGACTTCACAGCTATAGAATTGCAAAAAGAGATGGGGTAGAAATTGCCTGGGCCTTATTACAGAGAGTATTGTCAACTGCAGTTGCGAGTATTGGTCGGTCATTTTGGGTGCAAATGTTCTTCCTTCTGATCTGGAATATGGTAGAATGATCTTGGTTTAAACATAGAGGGAGTAACCACAGAGGAGGTGACTTCTTTTTTGCTACATAAATCACAGTCCACTCTAAGACCACTTGACTCATAATACTTCTTTAACTTCACACTTCCTTGCTCACCACACTGCAATGGATTATCACTGTGTTCAGCCCACACCTGCTTTTCCCTAGCTAAGGTTCAAGAAGTTCATCCTCCTATTCTACCTTCTATCTGATTTTAAGTCTCACTGAAGATCATCAGCCTGCCTCGCTAAGCTTTCCCAGCATGCCCTGCTTGTCAGGCCTTGGGGGTCTTGGTTTATGGTGTTTCTAAAAGTTAGTGCAAAAGTTGTTGCAGTTTTTGCCATTGCTCTAATGCACCAACTTAATATCTAGGATGCTCTTCTTCTCTTGCCTCTTCATTATTCAGATTACACATCCTTTATGTTAAATTGAATTAGAGATGTCTAGAAATACTTATTGGATTGCTGCATACCTTTTCCTTAAGACCCACCTCCTCTTTTCCTAATAAATCCAACTTACATGAACCTCTCCTTCCTTTGGTCTCAAACAAGAAAATTATTTCAAGTACTTATTGTAGATGCAAAACATTGGTGATGGTTTTCTTCTATTCTTTTGTCTCTGTCAAAATTGGAGGGATTCTTGCCTAAGCATAGCACAACTTCTCAACCTTTTCTCAATCCATTCTTTCAACTGCCTCCAGAGTTTACTTTTAAGGAAAATAATACCCTGTTTTTTCTCTAACTGAAAAACCTTCTATGACTCCACCACTGCTACAAGAAAAAGTCCAAATGCCTTAGCCCAACATTTAGAGTCTGCCAATGACTGGCTTTCATCTGTCTCTTCACCATTTTGTCTTCTAAATCTACCATTTACACCTTCTGTTAAAATCTTACTGGAATAGGCAATGGTCTCTGAATAAGTGCCATTTATTGTTTTTTATTGTCTTACCATCTCTTTCTTTTTTAGTTATATTATTCTTTTACTTGAGTATCTTCTTCACTCCACCACTTTTCTCCTCATCCGGATCATATTCACTTTAAGGATGCAAGTGAATTTTACTTTCTCCATGAAGCTTTCTAATCTCACAGAGTTACCCCTTCTTTTGCCCATTCTTTGATTATACTATGTACCTCATTGTAGTGTTTTGCTCACTCATTAGATTGGAAACATCTTTAGGATCTGGGCTCTGTCTTATTTCTGTTTGTGTTACTTACAGCACTAGGACAATCCCTGATTAAGTTTCTAGTGGCAGAAGAACTCTTGAAGGAAGGAAATTCCTGCAATCAATGCCATTCAGACTGTGAACAGTTAACAAACATGAGATGTGGGTAACTGCCAATTAGATCCGCAAGCAACAGACTACATGGGCCCTTCTATGTCTCCATAGAGATACACATTTATTAACCGTGCCCTTCAAAAGAGTGTAAACTTCAGAGAGTTCTCAATGAATATTTACAAGACACGCACTGGAGCCCAGAGGAGTTACTTAAATCCTCTGCTACTTTTCTCTTACCTATCCTCTTCCTCCTCCTTGCTGCCTGCTGCACCCCAACCTCCCCAACCCATGGAGCAGCCATGGGAAGCAGGAGACATCAAAAACCTAATGAATCAAGTATGCAGAACAAGCCAGCATTTTTTAGCTCTTTGTTAGGGAAGATCCTGGAGGGAAGTGTTTTGTATTACAAACAATGAGAAAGTTCATGCAACCTTGCAAATTAGCACAGGCTGGCCTCAGCTAAATCTGGTCTTGAAGAAGTTGGGCAGAAAATGGATTTAAAAAAAAAGCCATGAGCACATGTATACATATGTAACAAACCTGCACATTGTGCACATGTGCCCTAGAACTTAAAGTATAATAATAAAAAAAAGCCATGAAAATGAAAAATGAATCTTTTTATCTAATCACCATGTGGAGCCCAGCAGGAAAACTCATAGCTATTGGGGAAGTCTTTTATATAGATTGATATTTAGAGCAGAGAATAGTGGAAACGTTTAGGATGTGGGCAGGGTGACATATTTGTAACCTGTTGTTATGGAGGATAATTTGGAGTATTTTCCCAGAGCATGAGTCAATGACCTGTGGTTGGTTGGTTGGTTGTTTCTGGGAACTGTTCCTTCTTCTGATCAATATGAGAGAGGCCCAAATTCATGTTGGTGAATTCCCAGCAGCAGTCATTTTATACCATATGACCATCCACCTCCCATCCCCTGCCGTGGCAGAGTCGAAAGGACTCAGAGTGGGCATCTGATTCGAGTTAGACCAGTCAGAGTTCCTCTCCTGGTAAGCTGACATCAAGATTTAGCTAGAGTCAGTCTCTCTAGGGGCTAACCATGGAATGTGAAGACCATTAATGGCTATAAGCTTCAGTGTGGCCTAAGGACCAGAGGAAGATATTCTACAGCAAGAGAAGTATGAAGATGACACTCAGAGAGGGGCAAAAATGAGGAGAGAAGTGCTCCTTAGAGCATCCTGATACTCCTACTTCCTTCCCCAAGTTTTACCCATGGTTTAACTGTAATCGTGATGAATATTTCCACCACTAGTGGCTCCTTGTTTAACATTCAAGCTAGAATCCTTTTTCAATAAGGTCACATATTTTCCACCTCATTTTGTCTAACATTAAGGAAATTATAGTGATCAGAAGAAAGTTATGTAGCCATTTAAAAAGATGCTTACAAAAGCTTTCTAATACTCTGGAGAATACTTATGTTATAATGTCAAATAAAAATATTCAGACAAAACATTGTGTATTTATAGTATGAACTTAACCACATTAAACCTTCCATAAAATTGTGTGCAAAAATGCTTGCAAAAATAACCTCCAAATATTAACATGGGCTGTCTCCCTGTTATTTTATACTTTTCATATTTTTCAAATTTTTTTCCAATAAGTTTATGCTTCTTTTTATAATAGAAAAGCCTAATTTTATTTGGAGACATATTTTTATAGTGTCTTGCTTTATGCACTATCAGCTAAGCTTGGAATTTAAAACAAAGTTAACTAGAAGATCACAGAATGCTAATAGTGCAAGGAATATTAGGAATTCTTTAGTCCAGGGTTTAAAAATATTTATTTGGGGTCACAGATCTTTTGAGAATATGATACAAACTCTGACCTTCTTTTCAGAAAAAAAATATATGTATATGTTTATATATGTCTCTTCAGATGCTTGGTTGCAAGATACAGAGAACCCTGTGTACAGGCTT
The DNA here is from genome assembly GCF_000001405.40 of Homo sapiens. Classification (NCBI taxonomy): domain Eukaryota; kingdom Metazoa; phylum Chordata; class Mammalia; order Primates; family Hominidae; genus Homo; species Homo sapiens. The sequence goes on from NC_000005.10 coordinate 155,514,095, forward strand.
AAACTATAAAGGAAATTTATTGATTCAAGTAATCAAAAAGTCCAGGAGGATCTGGCTCCAGGTGAGGGTTGATCAGGTAACTCAACAATGTCACAGAGGCTCAGATATTTTTTCTCCATTTCTGTTTTTCTTTCCCCAAGTTTAGCTTTCATTCTTAGGCTGATTCACCTTTGAGCCTCAGGATGGTTTTTATAAGCTCCTGGAATTTTACACTTACTCATTTATACCCAGCAGGAAAGAAGAGTCTTTGTTTCAGCAACCCCAGTAAATATTGTCTGATTCTCAACCTGACTGGTCAAGCTGAGGTTAAGGTCCACCCCTGAGTCAATCACTGTGGCTAGAAAACAGAAAGCGCTTAGCGTAGATCATGCATTCCACCCAGCTTCCCCACCCCTGATTCATCCCCTAGTAGAAACTGGACTTAGTGTCAAGGTGTTCTACTTCATGCTGTGCTGGGATCTCAGGCTAGATTTTTGTCTATTCTAAGGACAACGGAAAGGCACGGAAGATTTGTAATCCTTCTAAATCACTCTCAGTGACACTCAGGTGGATGGATGAATGGAGTTCTCAAAGTTTTGTGAAATGATTTTTGTGACTGTGAAAAATGAGCTCTGCTGAAGGTTAAGGACAGCAAAACCTTAGCAAGAAGCTCACCTCTGACGTTCTGGTTCCTAAAACCATTTATCTGGATGAAACTCTGATTTGTCATCAAGCGAACCCCATTGTCTGCCAATAAGGTCACATGTACATCTTCTGGAGAGATGGGGCCCCTAATTTTTTAAATACATAAAAATAGCAACAGATATCTTAACAATGTTGATAGTGATGATGATGATGATGATGATAAATGTATTAGCTTGGGCTGCTTTGACTCTAGCAATAGAAACCCTGCTCAAACTTGCTTAAGAAGAAAATCAGATGTATTGGCTCAGTTATCTGCAAAGTGCAGTTATAGCTAGCTGCAAGGTTCTGCATTTTTAGCTCTCCTATGGCTCTACACACAGGCAATGCATGATTATCATCAGCAGGTCAAAATTCATGCTTCTAACTTAATTGCCTCTGTGAACGGTGGAACTGTTCACAGGGATAGAGGACCAGGTTTGGCTAGATGATCATGAATTTAGATTTAGACATATTAACTTAGTGATACCTTAGAGACCTCAGAGAAATCTTAATGTCTCTCCAAGGAAGGGATATTTAAGACAATATTTGAAAGACGAGCTGACCAAGTGCAGGAGCAGCCAGGGGAGTAGGAGAACGCAAAGGCCTCAGTCAAGAAAGGACTTATGACACCTGAGGACCTGAAAGAAGGCCTGTGTAGCTGGAGGACAGGGGACAAAGGGGAGAGTGGCACAAACTGACATAGCAGGGGTCAGCAGGACCCAGCTTCTGCAGAAACATTTAGGACTTCACAGCCACTGTAGAAAGAAAACCTCTTGCCCAGAAGCTTGGGTGGACAATGATAAAAGGAAAACTGCAGACAAATTAAATTTAACAGAGTTTAATGGAACAAAGAGTTATCCATAGATCAGGCAGCCCCTGAGCCAGAGTAGTCTGAGAGAGACTCCACCAAGGCCATGTGGTAGAAGAAGATTTATGGACAGAAAAGGGAAAATGACGTACCAGAAATGGAAGTGAGGTACAGAAACAACTGGATTGGTTATAGCTCAGCATTTGCTTTATTTGCTGTTTGAACAATTGACCCCGCTTCTTGATTGGCCCAAACTAGGTGATTGGCATAAGAGTAGCTTACAGTCTGTTTACACCTCCAGTTAGGTTACAGTTCACCATGTACAGTGACACCTTTAGGACAAACTTAAAATATGTAAGGAGGCAGCCCTAGGTTAAACTTAATTTAACAAGAGGATGACCACAGTTAGACCCATCAGGATATGTCACTATCCTTGATGATGCAGGAAATGGAAACTTTTAATGAGCTATCTCTAAGATTTGCAACTATCCCAGGGATGGGCAGGTGGTGAGGGACTCATCACCACCTGTGTTCTCTACAGGAAAGACTAGCTTCGTTATTTAAAGAAGGGAGGAGGGGAGCTAAGCAATGTGGGTCTGGCAAAACAAACAACTGAAGTAAACCTCAAAAGTGATAATATCATTAATAATAATATCAATTGATAATATCAATAATAATGATAATAATGGTATTATAGCCATGTATCATATTTTTTGTTTGATAATATGTGCCAGAAACTACGCTGAGTGCTTTTCTTACATTCTTTCATTTAAAACTACAGTGACCTTTTGAGGTAGGTGTTATCCCCATTTTACAGAAAAAGAAACTGAGGTCCAAAGAGTTTTATTAGCTGCTTGAGATTACACAGTTGGTAAGTAACAGAGGAAGAACTAACACTCATGTCTAGTCTATTGATTTAGATTAGCCTCTGATTTTGGAGGCTAGGCTCTTAACCACTATCTATATGGTAACTTTCTTAGAAAGATTCCAAAATCTTTATAGCTTAGCTTTCAGCAAGACGTTCATGATATAAGCAAGACTAGATGTGGAAGCAGTGAAAAGGTGCCTCTCCTTTCTCTATTTCTCTCAGCTGCCATGTTCTGAAAGCCATCACTACATTAGAGGTAAAGCCATACTTCCCATGGGCTGCTCCCAGCCAATGACTGAGCTTGGCAAAGAAACTAAGACCAGCCTATTCCTGAGAGATGTGGGACTTGTCTTATGGGTTCAAGAACTTTGTTTCAAGGACCTCCTATCAGCTTTGCCAAGCTTTCTTAGAATTGGAGTGCAGCCAAAGACTCTCCCACTTAAACTTCCTTCCTTTTCTGTTTCATAAGGGACAGACCTGCATGGAACTCTGATGGGATTCCCATCCTCCTTTGATGCCAGCCCCCTTTTTCGACACAGGTGTCTTCTCTAATCTCTTGCAGGTCTAATCCACTGTATTAGCTTCTTAGGGCTGCTTTAAAAACTACCACAAACTGGGTGGCTTAAACAAAAAGAAGTGTATTGCTTGCAATTCTGAAGGCTGGAAGTTCAAGATCTAGGTGTCTGCAGGCTTGGGTCCTTCTGAGGGCTGTTCCATGCTTCTCTCCTAGTTTCCATAGCCTTAGATGTTTCTTAGCTTGTAGGTGATGTTCTCCTTCTGTCCTTACATCATCTATCCTTTGTATGTGTTTGTCTCTGTGTCCAGATTTCCCCTTTTTATAAGGGCACAGTCATATTGAATTAGGGCTTACTTTAATGACCTCATGTTAACTTGATCATCTGCAAAAAATCCTACTTGCAGATTAGATCACATTCACAAGTACTGAAGGATTAGGACTTCAACAGATTTTCTGGGGATACAATTCCACCTACACTATCCATTTTAGTGTGTCTTTCTTAGAGGACCTGGGCTAACACACAGGGGAATTCAGGGATTTCAATAAGCCTATTTATATTTTAAAAAGGCATTACTTCTAAAGTCACCATTTGGTCCCGGTGTATATATGTATTTGACATATATATATTTGCAGTCTGTCACCCAGGCTGAAGTGCAGTAGTACGATCTCAGATCACTGCAGCCTTGTTGTCCCAGGCTCAATCAGTCCTCTCAACTCAGCCCCCACGAGTAGCTTGGACTACAGGCGCACGCCACCATACCTGGCTAAGTTTTGTATTTGTGGTAGAGATGAGGTTTTGTCATGTTGCCACGGTTGGTCTCAAACTCCTGGGCTCAAGCAATTCTTCTGCCTCGGTCTCTCAAAGTGCTGGGATTACAGGCATGAGCCACTATGCCTGGTCTGGCCCAGGTATATTTTTGAGGATGAAAAATTCCATATTCATTCTAGAAATGCTAGACATATTTAATTGATCCAATTGATCATAATTATACCAATTACTACATTTAATAATTTTATCAGAAATATTCCCACAACTTTTTAAAATTTTTAATTTTTATGTGTACATAGTAGGTGTATATATTTATGGGTTATATGAGATATTTTGATGCAGGCATGCAATGCATAATAATCACATCAGGGTAAGTGGAGTATCCATCATCTCAGGTATTTATCCTTTGTGTTGCAAACAATTCAATTATACTCTTTTGCTTATTTTAAAATGTACAATTAAACTATTTTTGACTATAGTCATCCTGTTGTGCAAGCAAATACTAGGTCTTATTCATTCTTTCTATTTTTTTGTACCCATTCACCATTCCCACTTCCCTCTCACCCACACCCACTATCCTTCCCAGCCTCTGAAAACCATCCTTCTACTTTCTATCTCCATGAGTTCAATTGTTTTAATTTTTAGCTCTCACAAATAAGTGAGAACATGCTTAGTTTGTCTTTCTGTGCCTGGCTTATTTCACTTAACATAATGATCTCTAGTTCCATCCATGTTGCAAATGACAGGATCTCATTCTTTTTATGGCTGAATAGTACCCCATTGTGTATATGTACCACATTTTCTTTACACATTCATCTGTTGATGGACACATAGGTTGCTTCCAAATCTTGGCTATTGTGAATAGTGCTGCAATAAACATGGAAGTGCAGATATCTCTTCAATATACTGATTTTCTTTCCTTTTGGATATATACCTAGAATTAGGATTGCTGGATCATATGGTACCTCTATTTTTAAAATTTTGAGGAATCTCCAAACTGTTCTCCATAGTGGTTGTAGTTGCACTAATTTATATTCCCACTAACAGTATATGAGAGTTCCCTTTTCTCCGCATTCTTGACAGCATTTGTTATTGCCTGTCTTTTGGATAAAAGCCATTTTAATGGTGGTCAGATGATATCTCACTGTAGTTTTGATTTGCATTCCTCTGATGATCAAAGACATTGAGGACCTTTTCATATACCTGTTTGTCATTGTAAGTCTTCTTTTGTGAAATGTCTATTCAGATATTTTGCCCATTTTTAAATCAGATTTTAGATGTTTTCCTATAGAGTTGTTTGAGCTCCTTATATACATTGATTATTAATCTCTTGTCAGTGGGTAGTTCACAAATATTTTTTCCCATTCTGTCAGTTGTCTCTTCACTTTGTTGATTGTTTCCTTTACTGTGCAGAAGCTTTTTAACTTGATGTGATCCCATTTGTCCATTTTTGCTTTGGTTGCCTGTGCTTGTGAGGTGTTACTTAAGACTTCTTTGCCCACTCTAATTTCCTGGGGAGTTTCCCCAGTGCTTTCTTTTAGTAGTTTCATAGTTTGAGGCCTTAGATTTAAGTCTTTATTTTGATTTGATTTTTGCATATGGCAAGAGATAGGAGTCTACTTTAATTCTTCTGCATATTGATATCCAATATTCCCTGCACCATTTATTGAAGAGACTGTCCTTTCCCCAATGTATGTTCTTGGTAGCTTTGTCAAAAATAAGTTCATTGTAGATGGGTGGATTTATCTCTGGGTTCTCTATTCTGTTCTACTGATTTATGTGTCTGTTTGCATGCCAGTACCATACCATTTTGGTTGCTATAGCTCTTTAGTATAATTTAAAGTCAGGTAATGTGATTTCTCCTGCTTTGTTCTTTTGGTTTAGGATAGTTTTGGCTATTCTGGGTCTTTTGTGGTTCCATAGGAATTTTTTTTGTATTTCTGTGAAGAATGTCATTGGTATTTTTGTAGAGATTGCATGAAATCTGTAGATTTGCTCTTGGTAGTATGGACATTTTAACAATATTCATTCTTCCAAGCCATGAACAGGAAATATTTTTCTACTTTTTGGTGTCTTCTTCAATTTTTTTACATCAAGGTTTTATAGTTTTCATTGTAAAGATCTTTCACTTATTTGGTTAAGTTAATTCCTGGGTATTTTATTTTATTTGTAGCTATTGTAAATGAGATTACTTTCTTGATTTCTTTTTTAGATTATTTGCTATTGGCATATAGAAATGCTAGTGATTTTTGCACATTGATTTAGTATCCTGTACCTTTACTGAATTTATCAGTTCCAATAGTTTTTTTGATGAAGGCTTTAGGTTTTTCCAAATATAAGATCATATCATCTGCAAACAAGGATAATTTGACTTCTTCCTTTACAATTTGGATGCCTTTTATTGCTTTCTTGTGTCTGATTGCTCTAGCCCAGACTTCCAGTACTATGTTGAATAACAGTGGTGAGAGTGGTCATCCTTGTCATGTTCCCCATCTTAGAGGAAAGACTTTCAGTATGATACTAGCTATGCGTCTGTCATATATGGCTTTTATTGTGTTGAGTATATTCCTTATAAACCCAACTTTTTGAGAGTTTTTATTATGAAGGGATGTTGAATTTTATCAAATTCTTTTTCAGCATCAGTTGAAATGATTGTATGATTTTTGTCCTTCATTCTGTTGATATGATGTATCACATGGATTGATTTGTGTATGTTGAACCATCCTCGCATCCTTGCATCCTTGGGATAAATCCCATTTGGTCATGATGAACGATCTTTCTATGCTGCTGAATTCGGTTTGATAGTATTTTGTTTAGGATTTCTGCATAAATATTCATCAGGGATATTGGCCTATGGTTTTCTTTTTTTTTGATGTGTTTTGGTCTGGTTTTCACATAAGAGTAATATTGGCCTGGTAGAATGAGTTTAAAAGTATTCCCTCCTTTATTTTTTGGAACAGTTTGAATAGGATTGGTATTAGTTCTTTAAATATTTGGCAAAATTCAGCAGTAAAGCCATCAGGTCGTGGGTTTTTCTCTACTGGAACAATTGTTATTATAGCTTTGATCTCATTACTTGTTATTTGTCTGTTCAGCTTTTGGGTGTCTTCATGGCTCAATCTTGGTAGGATGTATGTGTCTAGGAATTTATTCATTACTTCTAGATTTTCCAATGTATTGGCATATAGTTACTCATAGTAGCCACTAATGATCCTTTGAATTTCTGCCATGTAGTTTATAATGTCTCCTTTTTTATCTCTGCTTTTATTTATTTGGGACTTCTCTCTTTTTTTCTTAGTTTATCTGGCTAAAGGTTTGTCAATTTTGTTTATCTTTTCAGAAAACCAACTTTTTGTTTCGTTGATTTTTGGTATTGTTTTCTTCATTTTAATTTCACTTAATGTCTCCTCTGATCTTTAGTATTTCTTTTCTTCTACTAATTTTGGGTTTGGTTTGCTTTTGCTTTTCTAGTTCTTTAAGATGTATGAAGTAGTTTAAAGTTTTTCTTTTTTCATGTAGGCATTTACAGCTATAAACTTCCATCTTAGTACTGCTTTCACTGTATCCTGTAGGTTTTGATATGTTGTGTTTCCATTATCATTTATTTCAAGAAATTTTTCAATTTCTTTCTTAATTTCTTCATTGACCCACTGGTCATTCAGGAGCATGTTGTTTAATTTCCATGTATTTTTATAGTTTCCCAAATTCCTGTTATTTTTAATTTCTAGTTTTATTCTGTTGTGGTCAGAGAAGATGCTTGGTATTATTTAAAATTTTTTGAATGTTTTAAGACTTATTTTATGACCCAACATATGGTCTATCCTTGAAAATGATCCATGTGCTGAGGAAAAGAATGAATATTCTGCAGTCATTGGATGAAATGTTCTGTAAATATCTGTTAGATCCATTTGGTCTATAATGCAGATTAAGTCTGATGTTTCTTTGTTGATTTTCTGTCTGGAATATCTTTCCAATGCTAAAAGTGGGTTGTTGAAATCTCTAGATATTGTTGTATTGGAGTCCCTCTCTTTAGCTCTAATAATATTTGTCTTACATATCTGGGTGCTCCAGTGTTGGATGCATGTATATTTGCAATTGTTAGATTATCTTCTGAATTGACGCCAATATCATTATATAATAGCCTTTCCTGTCTCTTCTTAGAGTTTTTGTCTTGAAATATATTTTGTCTCAGAAAGTGTAGCCACTCCTGCTCTTTTTTGTTTCAGTTCACATGGAATACCTTTTTCAATCCCTCTATTTTCACTCTATGTGTGTCTTGATAGGTGAACTATGTTTCTTATAAGCAGCAGATCAATGATTCTTGCTTTTTTTTTAAAATCCATTCACCCACTCTATGTCTTTTTATTGAAGAGTTTAGTCCATTTACATTCGACACTATTATTGATAAGCAAGGACTTACTCCTGCCATTTTGTTATTTGTTTTCTCATAGTTTTGTGTTCAATTTCTTCTTTCCTTCCTTCCTGTCTTCCTTTTAGTGAAGGTGATTTTCTCTGGTGATATGATTTAATTTCTTGCTTTTTATTTTTTGTGTATCTGTCATATATTTATTTGGTTTGAGTTCACCATGAGGCTTGCAAATACTATCTAAAAACCCATTATTTTAAGCTGATAACAAATTAACACTGCTTGCATAAACAAAAGAGCAAAAAGAAAACTAATAAAAATTGTACACTTTAACTTCATTCCCCCACTTTTTAACTTTTTGTTGTTTCTATTTTTATCTCATAAATAGGTCTTGGGTAATATGCAGAAGAATTCTCTAGATTACCAGGCAGAGACTTTTGTTCTGTTCTCTTCTTTTACTTCCAAAAAAATGGAGTCTCTCTCTGTGTGCTGAGCCACCTGGAGCTGCAGATAGAGTGACACAAGCACCCTGTGGCCACCACCTCTAATACTGCTCTGGGTTAGACCTGAATCCAACACAGCACTGGATTGATAAGAATCCAAGGGCCACTGTAACCCCTATCTGGCAACCGCCTGTTTGCTCAAGGCTCAAGGGCTCTACAATCAGCAGGTGGTGAAATCAGCCAGACATGTATCCTTCCCTTCAGGGTAGTGAGTTCCCCCCAGGCCTCAGGCTGGTCCAGAGGTGCTGTCCAGGAGCCAGGGAATTGAGTAAAAAAAAATAATAAAACCTTAGAAATGTACATGGTGTTCCATTATACTGCAGTTGAGCTGGCATTCAAACTACAAAACAGTTCTTTCCACTCTTTCTTCCCTTTTCTGCAGGCAGATGAGACTCACCCCTTGGCCACCACCACAGGCCCACAGGGAGTACTTCCAGACTACAACCAATGTTCACTTGAGGCCAAGGACTCTTCAGTCAGCTTGTGGTGAATGCTGACAGGCCAGGGACTCATCCTTCAGGGCAGTAGGCTCCCCTTTGGGCCAGGGCAGGTCCAGAAATGCCATCCAAGAGCCAAGGCCTGGAATCAGGGATCCTAAGAGCCTTCTTGGTGCTCTATCCACTGTGACCAAGCTGGTGCCTGAAGCCAGCATGTCTCAGAGTCTCACCCAAGGCCCATGACCTACTACCTGGGCAGCACTGATGGTTATTCAGGGCCCAAGAGCTCTTTATTCTGCAGGTGATGGATTCTGCCAGAACTAGATCCTTACAGTGGGTTCCCTTCTGGCCCAGATGCATCTGGAAATGTTATCTGGGAGCTACGGCCTGAAATGAGGGCCTCACAACTCTGACCGATACCCTATCCTACTGTGGCTGAGCTGGTATCCAAGATGTAAGACAAAGTCCTCTTTATTCTTCCCTCTCCTCTCCTCAAGCGAGAGGAAGAGGTCTCTTTTAGAGCCATGAGCTGCGCTTTCTGAGATTGGTGGAGGGTTGGTGCAAGCCCTCCCTTAGCCACCTTGGCTGGTATCTCAGTAGGTTGGATGCTTCCCAAGTCCACTGGCTCTGGGCTTAGTTCAGCACTAGGATTCAACCTAGGAGTTCCAGTCTTTGTGGTTTAGACTGCCTTTTGAGTTAATTTAGGGCCCCATGGTACTTTATCCCATGGTGGTGAGGCTTGCTGGAACTGGGATGAGTGGTTCCCCTCTGGATAGGGCTTGTCTAATTTCTCCCTCAGTGGGCATGCATCAGCTGAGTGCAGGTTGATTTTACTTTGCACTGTGATAGGGCAACACTGAGTTCAATGCAAAGACTCACAATCACTGTGCCATCCCCCTCCCAAGCACACAGGTTCTCTCTCCATGCCACTTGGCCACTGCTGGGGGAAAGGGGAGGAGTTGCATTGCACTGGCGATTCAAGACTGTCTTTCCTACCCTCTTCAGTGTCTCTTTCAGTGACATTAAGTTAAAACCAGGTACTGTGAGTGCTCACCTGATTTTTGGTTCTTAAGAAGGTGATTTCTTGTGTAGATAGTTGTTAAATTCGGTGTACCTGTGGAGGGGAATGATCAGTGGCGCTTCCTATTCAGCTATCTTGCTCTGCCCCTCTCTACCCCTAACAATATTAATTTTAATGCACAGCTATTCTAAGATAGGCCAGAAATAGTGTAGTTTAAATTTTCCTTTCTTTTGAGTAATATTGAGACTTTATTTGGTTTAGTTTTGCTTTTCACAAACTGTTTTCTGTGGAATACAAACTTTCTGTGAGCTATAATAGGTATTTTTAAAAGATGATCTTATATGGCCAGATTTCTTTAGAATATGCTAGGTCTACTTGGAGATTCATTCATTTATTTGACACATTTCCCGGGCATCTGTAGTTGTTGGAGATTGTGGTAAGTAAAGAGTACTTAGCACTGAGTAAGATATGCACTGTCTGGCTGGGCACGGTGGCTCAAGCCTGTACTCGGCACTTTGGGAGGCCGAGGTGGGCGGATCACCTGAGGTCAGGAGTTTGAGACTAGCCTGGCTAACATGGCGAAACCCCATCTCTACTAAAAATATAAAAATTAGCCGAGTGTGGTGGCGTATGCCTGTAATCCCAGCTACACAGAAGGCTGAGGCAGGAGAATTGCTGGAACCCGGGAGGCAGAGGCTGCAGTGAGCCGAGATCATGCCTGTGCACTCCAGCCTGGGCAACAGAGTAAGACTCCGTCTAAAAAAAAAAAAAACAAAAAGATAGGCACTGTCCTTGTCCTTCTGGATTTTGTATCCTCATGTTCCTGTGGACCTTTCAGTTAAAGAGGGTCCATAATCAATTAACAGATAAGGAAATAGGGAAATGAACAAGGAGTGTGGGGGAAATAAAAGAGGTAATATGTTAAGGATAACTGGAATGAGTAAGATGTGCTTTAGATGGGGTGGCTTGATGAAAGAATTGACATTTCAGTTGAGGCCTGACAGGTGAGAGGCAAGAGTCAGTCATGGGAAGAGCTGAGTGAACAGGGAGCTGCAACGGCTGAGACAGACTCTGAGGCAGTGAAGTCTGGCTGAGGGGAAGAAATGAAGGTAGGGGTGTTGGTTAGGGCATGGGATTAGATGTGAGTGTCATGGTTTGAATATGGAAAGGTAGGCAGAAGCCAGGTGATGGGTCTAATAAATGCTGAGGAGTTTGCATTTTACTTTAAGTGCAACCCATATTGGCATATCCGAGGCTCTGTGGGGTGCTATAGTAGAGCAACCTGTTTGCCCTGGCTTATTTTCAAGTTTCTAAAACATAATTGATCAAATTGTTCTGCCAATAAATACCTGACAGAAGAGTGGCATTCCATGGAAGACAGATTTGGAGATGCTAATTTGGTGAATTTAAGCTAGTTGCTACTTAGGAACACCAGTGTCTCATGAAAGTGATTCACTGGGACACCATTTGGTGCAATAAAGGTGGGATTCAAAAACACAGTGTTTACATTCACTGTCTTTGAAGTCAGAGTTCACATCTCAACTCCCCTATTTAATAATTGTATCTGGGCAAAGTGCAGTGCCTCACACCTGTAATCCCAGCACTTTGAGAGGCTGAGGCGGACAGATTGCTTGAGCTCAGGGATTTGAGACCAGCCTAGGCAACCTAGCAAAACCCCATCTCTACAAAAAAATACAAAAAATTATCTAGACATGGTGGTGCATGCCTGCAGTCCCAACTACTTGGGAAGCTGAGGTGAGAGAATCACCTGAGCCTAGGAGGTCAAGGCTGCAGTAAGCCACGGTTGTGCCATTGCACCCCAGGCTGGGTGACAGAGTGAGACCCTGTCTCAAAAAAAAACTATATTCTTGTAGGTAAAATACTTAATCTGTCTGTGCCTCAGTTTTCTCATATTTAAATGGAAGATGATATTCATTATTTCAAATGGTTGTTAGGAAGATTGAGAAAATATATGTGAAGTTCATTGAACATGATAAATACTCAATAAATATTATTGTTATTTAGCACTATTAACCTAAAATAGTATTTTCCCCACAGGGTTTTCAGGCATTATTTCTTGATATTAATGAGCTCATACAGAAGAAATAAAATGTGTGGGGGTGAGTTTCTTATTGAGCAAGCTTATAAAAAACAAACACACGTATGTACAACATTAACAGAATAATGTCTCATTCACACTCTAGAGTAAAATAAGTAAATGTCATTTAATAATCAATTTCTGGATTCCCTACCTCTGTTTTCCTTTTCGTTGCAAAACTATCAAATTTAAAACCTAACCAAATTAGGAAGTTATTTCCTCATTCAACATTCATTTGCCAATCAGTAGTCAAGTGTCAACTCTGTTCCAGCCATGGATACAGGTGCTTTTCTTTTCTTTTCTTTTTTTTTGAGATGGACTCTCATCTGTCACCCAGGCTGGAGTGCAGTGGCGTGATCTTGGCTCACTGCAACCTCTGCCTCCTGGGTTCAAGCAATTCTCCTGCCTCAGCCTCCCAAGTAGCTGGGACTGCAGGCATGTGCCACCACGCCCGGCTAATTTTTTGTATTTTTAGTAGAGACGGGTTTCACTGTGTTAGCCAGGATGGTCTCGATCTCCTGACCTCAAGATCTGCTCGCCTCGGCTTCCCAAAGTGCTGGGATTATAGGCGTGAGCCACCTAGCCCGGCCACAGGTGCTTTTCTTTAAGGGACTTTTTGAGACCCTGATTGTTCCTTCATTCTATTGTCAGCAATGGCTAGCAAGCGTGTTCTCTTTATTGGTCCCTTACAGAGGATGTTTAGGACTTCTGAGCTGTGCCCTTTGGCGCTGATTGGCTGCACTGAACTAAACGAGCCTCACTTGAGAGTTGGTAGGACCTAACCTGGCTGATGGCATAGGTAAGAAAACCTCCAAAGTATATGAAAATGGAAGGAAAATTAGTCAAATAACCATGATATCTGTTTTTAAACTGAAGCTGAGAATTATTGACAAGATATTGGCCCATTAAAGTTTTTCTTTTTTTAAAACCTGCCTTGCCTAAGTGGATTTAATGTGTTTTGGTGTTTTATTCCTCCTGACACCAGCTTGGGAAAAAAGAAAACTTAATTGCTACATTTATGCATAACTTCAGGGTGCTGAATGCTTGAGGAATTTTTACTTTCCAGACACATCAAAACAACAACAACAAAATCATATCATAATCAACACTTCTGGATGAAATGAGAGATCCTCTCCAACATCCTGTGGGTGGGCATTTTGGATTTAATTGCTTTGCCACTTCATTTGTCATTTTCTAAAATAGGCCTCCAGAGAAATTATGTTCAAACAAGACACTTCCATAGTCAGTATATGGTGCATGAGTCGAAGGAATAAAATCAATCTCTAATCCAACCTTGTGTGCCACATAACAGCTTGTGTCTTGCTCTCAAAAAGCTTACATTTAGGGAATAAGACTATTAATGCGTTTGAAATACCTGTGGAATGATACAAGAGATTTGAGATGGTTGAGTGCTTCCTCATGCAGCAAAGACTCTAGGTATTAATTGATTTCTAAAGAAGGATTTCTAATAGAGCTGAAGTAAATGGAATGGGAAATAGTGTGCTCCACATAACTGTAGTTTTCAGTTAGGATTCGTTATCATGGCATGGCTGAGATGATAGACAACAGGCTCCAGACTGGTGGTCCATGGTCCTGACAGGGTTCTGTCAGCCAACAGTTTGGCTTGTGTGTGTGTATGTATGTGTGTGTGTGGGTAATGTTTCAGAAAACATGATAACTCAGCGAGTCCTACATTCAATATGTACCTTAGCCCCATTTTCTTCCTTCCTACACCTCTCATTCATGTGTATGAATTTCAGGCCTCAGGCAGGAATGTATGCTTACAGTGGCTAAAAACATAAACCACAGATTGGTGGGAAGAGGGTGGGGTTGGACTAAATAACTTGAAACCATCCTCCTTGGTATTCTGTGCTCTGAAAACTCAGAAGGAGAAAATAAGTGTATACTGAGATAGTAAGGAGGACTTTGCAGAGTACGTAGGACTTAAAATGGATGCTGGGAGGGAGGTGAGATTGAGACAGGTGCAGAAGAGGGCCTCCCAGTAGGTAGAACAGCAAGATTTGAGACAGCTGGTAGAAATTAGTTCAAGGGGAAGGGGAGACTGGTCTGGCAAAGGTGATGAGAGTGTGTTGACCATCAGGAAAGAAACTGATGGACCCCCAGGCCAAACCTGGGGATACCTTCAAGGTCACAATCCCAATCCCACACGGCAATAGTTAACACAGTTGAGATTGGATTTCAGAGCTTAGCTTAGCTTTCTTTGACATTGGTCATTCTTTGATACCACTCTGCTTTTTTTTTGAGATGGAATCTTGCTGTGTCACCAGGCTGGAGTGCAGTGGCATGATCTCAGCTCACTGCAGTCCCCACCTCCCGGGTTCAAGCGATTCACCTGCCTCAGCCTCCTGAGTAGCTGGGACTACAAGCACACACCACCATGCCCGGCTAATTATTATTATTATTTTTTGTATTTTAGTAGAGACAGGATTTCACCATGTTGGCCAGGATGGTCTTGATCTCCTGACCTCGTGATCCACCCACCTGGGCCTCCCACAGTGCTGGGATTACAGGCATGAGCCACCACACCTGGCCACCACTCTACTTTTATGGAGCTAACAGGTAATAAAGTTTCCAAGTTAAGAGCCCAACAAATAAAATCACAGCCAGTTCTAGACTCAGGTTCTTTGAATAATAGAACAGGTGTGTAGAAATACGTATAAACAAGCATCATTCTTAAATTATTTCTCTCTTTGCTAAAACAGCAAATGGTTTTCTTAAAGGGTAGGATAATTGATAATTCACATTTATTCTCTTCTTTGTCTCATCATGCAGGTCATTTCTACCCAGGCCTATCAACGATTGTATTATGATGGGAACAGAAAGAATTATTTATTCTGGGAATCCTGGCCATTTGTGGGGGGCGGGGTAAATCATTTTAATTTCATTGCTTGATTTATGTGCTTGTGTAAGTGTAGAGGGTCCTGACTGTTCATTTCCATAAGCCTCTCCTTTTTCTAGGGTCCTGATCCTTTTTCTCCCATGATATGAAGATAAACTAGATTGTGGAAACACCACCAGCAGCCCTGAATTTTTCTCTCCATCCTTTGCCAACAGCTTGACATCTGAGTTTTCATAATAATCAAATGGATTGATGGACACAGTATTAGGATACTTTTGGCTGCAAGCGACAGAAGCACAAACACATTTACACACACAAAAAATTTCTGGCTTGCATAGCTAATAAGTTCAGGAGTTAGCCTCAGGCATAGCCAGACTCAAACAATTTCAGCAGGAATTAGTCTTGCCCCATCACTTGGCTCTGATTTCCTCTGTGTGGGCTTTGTTCTTAACAAACTCTGCCCGTGTAGTGGCCAGATGGCCCAGAGCAGCTCCAGGGCATCCTCCTCTCAGCTTCAAGTCCAGACAAAGAACTTCTCTTTCCCAATTACCTATAATGGGACTCTATAATTGAGTCCCATTGGTCAGATCTGGTTCACAGGCTTTCCATAGAGCCAGGAATGGGATCCATCCTGAATCACCAGAAGTGAGAGTGTGTATGAGGGATGGTTCCCTAGAGGGAAATCACAGTGCTACCATCAGAAGGAGGAGGATGCTGGGCGGGGTAAGGTGTGATGTTGACTTGAGAAGGATGAATCACGCTTCTAGGTGTGGGCCTTAGCCCTTTTGGGAGATAGCGCTGAATCCAACATTTCTTTGAATCCTCATTTTTTACCTTAAAAATGCATATGACTTCTATTTCATCAACTCCATCTGATTAGTTTTAATGTAAAAATAATGTTTTTAATTACCGATTACTCCTAAGTCATTGACTAGGTTTAAGATTCCAAGAAGGGACATTATTATAAACCCTGTGGCTTCAGTATCCCAGGCACTTTCCTGTGTTTCAGAACTTCCTTTTTGAGAAGCTCAAATATATGCAACTATCAAATAATAATGTAGCCATTATTAGATTTCTCTGCTGTTTCAAGTGAATTGCTTAAGCCTAGAGGAAATAACAACAGGAAAAACTGGCATACAGAATGGCCATTAAGAGAGCAGGTTTTTGGTCAGATGGCCATAGGCTGGAATCCTG
Source organism: Homo sapiens (assembly GCF_000001405.40). Classification (NCBI taxonomy): domain Eukaryota; kingdom Metazoa; phylum Chordata; class Mammalia; order Primates; family Hominidae; genus Homo; species Homo sapiens. Next base: position 155,530,199 of record NC_000005.10, read on the forward strand.
CTTCACCCCTGATAATCTGTATGGTCTTTGATAAATTACTTGAGCTCATTGAGCTGTCATTTTCTCAGTGGTTAACATGACTCATCCTTATACATTGTGAGGACTAAATGAGCTAATGCTTGTGAAACAAGGATAGAGCCTGGCACATAGTGATTCTCAGGAATTGTTAGTTATCATTATATTTCAATAAATACCATTATTAATATTTTATATGTATTATAGATGTAATAAACTTTTAAAATGACTTACTTCTACTAATAATGACTTCATATTGCAGTTTCAAATGCAAGCAAAAGATGGATGATAATTTCTTTTTTGTTTTTCATGACCTGCAGTCAATTGAAAAGGGCTCTAAATATAAAGCAAGGAGGCAGAGGAGATTGCCTTGAGAGTGAAGAGTTTTTATTTTCATGCCATTAGCTTAGACTCACTGTAATATTTTCCTGCTCTTTAATTCCTCCACAGTTGTCACTAATTGCACACTTATCTTGCCGTTTAACAGTAGCTCTTATTTCCTAAACAACTCTTGCACAAAGCAGTTAGCCAAAATACATCTTCCTTTTGTTTTCAACAGAAAATCCACCTTATGCATTTTTCACAATTTTGAATACAAATGACCAAAAGAAAACATCAGGAAAATGGCTTCACTGGCACAAATTATCAGATGATTATTGGTGCCTTTTAATTCCAAGGGTTGATGATCATTGCTAGCTTAAGAAAATGCCTACCACATTTGAGAAGATGATAGCTACCATTAAAATGAAGGTTACAGAACATGAAATGGTAAAAATAAAAAGACTCCATAGGATTCCTTTCATTTATGCTTTGGAAACTCTAATCTTTTCTAATTTTAAGGTGTATTTTTTAACTTGGCTATCATACTTTTAATAGCTACCTCCACTTCTTTTTATATATACTGTGTAAGCACACAAATGCAATAACACACTGGATATATGCTCCTTTTTTTTTTTTTTTTTTTTGAGACAGAGTCTCGCTCTGTTGCCCAGGCTGGAGTGCAGTGGCATGATCTTGGCTCACTGCAAGCTCCGCCTCCCAGGTTCATGCCATTCTCCTGCCTCAGCCTCCTGAGTAGCTGGGACTACAGGCACCTGCCACCACGCCCGGCTAATTTTTTTTTTTTGTATTTTTAGTAGAGACGGGGTTTCACCATGTTAGCCAGGATGGTCTCGATCTCCTGACCTCATAATCCGCCTGCCTTGGCCTCCCAAAGTGCTGGGATTACAGGAGTGAGCCATCGCACCCGGCCTATGCTCCTATTTTAAAAGTTTTGAGATGTCATCTATGAGGGTGCTTATAGACAAAGTCAATTTAAACATATGGAAAGTTCCACATCATTCATTCATTTGATGAAATCTTTTCCTAACTCCTACTCAGTCTATCTAATGACAATATGAACAACCCAACTGAGAAAAGGAGTAATCCTCATGGAACACTTTGTATTATAGATATGTCGCCCTTGAAATTTAGATTATTTAGAGCTTCTCCTGAGTAAGATAGGTGGTTTTAAAGTTCCAAAATGCATCCCGTTAACCACTACCCCTTCCTGTAAAGAAGGATTATGGAGTCATAGTTAATAACTCAGAGTCTGAAGCCAGATTACCTGAGTACAAGTCTCAGGTGTGCCAATGCCTCGCTGTATGGCTCTGGGCAATTTACCTACCAGCTCCACATACTTCACTTTTCTCACTTGTACTTACTTCATGGGATCATCATGAGGACTAAATGAGTTAATCTATATGCAATGCAAAAACAGTGTCTGGCACATATTAAGTGATTTTATAGACATTTACTGCTGTTGCTATTGTTGATGCTATTGCTGCTGTCATCCTAAGAACATGTGAGGTCTTTAAGAGCACAGGCAAGCAAATCCAACAGTTCTGAGTTTGAACCCCAGACCTGAAACTTACTAGCTGTGTAATCTTGGGCCAGCAAGTTTCTTAATCTTGTTGGGCTTTAGCTTCTTCGCTGGAACAATGGAGATAATACCAATTAGTAAGATTTGGTCAGGGTCTATCGTAAGAAGGAATTGAGGAAAAGTCTAGGTTTCAATCCTCATTGCTCTTTGACCTTGGTCAAACTACTTTGCCTGAGAAATGTGTTTGTTGTCAAGATTAAATGAGCTAATCCATATAAAAGGCTTAAAATGGTACTTGTAATTTTGCAAGGGCTAAATAAATTGTAAGTATTACCATTGCTTACTCATCTCACATTAATTTTCACATTTTACAAGTAATCAAGAAAATGGGAGAGATTACCTTCTTAGTCCAAGTGACTAGTATGTGGCAGACCTGTGACATAATTCCAGGGCTTCACACACTGCTAGGTTGTGGCATATGATGGGGCCTGTATTATGATTTAGGTTGTTGATATTATGGGGGTATTAATTCATGAATTCCTTCTGCCTAAAATATCCATGTGTCCAGATCCTTTAAAATCCACATTAAATGCCACATGCCTTTTTTTCCTGAAGACTTTCCTGCTTTTCAAAGGCAACTGTCATCTGTGAATGCATTAAACTGTGGCTGCTCTCCCCACTACTCACCTTAAATTATGATTACTGTACATATCTTTTATCATCTAGGAGACTGCAGTTACTGTGAAGGCATGTTCTGTGAATGATTCATCATCATCTCCTCATTGCTGTAACAATGCATGGAACTTGGGGGAATTTTGTAGATATTTGTTAAATGGATGAATAAATGAGTGAATGAATGAAGCAGCTATCGGCTTGGATGATTGCAGGCAAATTAGCCTGGGAGGGGATAACACTGAGCATTTGAAGATATACTGAAAGTTCATATTTCCCTGTTAGAATATCCAAACCGCAGACTCTGAAAAACACCTCCAGCTAGGAGGCAGGGCTGTAATTTGAGCCTGTGAACTGGATGTTCTCGACTTTAAAAGTGAATCATTCATGTGTTCATTCAACAAACGCTCATGCAGTACTTGTTATGGGCTTTTTTATATGCTTGCTCAGGGTATGGGAGCCTATGTTTGGAAGCTTTACTGTGAAGTCACAGGACATCAGATATGGAAGGGACCAGAGGATCATCCTAGACAGGATTTCTCAGGTGGTGTAATGAGAAATATTAGCCCCCAGTGAGAAAGTTCACAAGTCAATGAATAAGAGATTTCTATAGACTCCTAAATGTGGAGGATGCTATATTCTATATCCCTCTCCTTTCCAGATTACTAATAATAATGATCATAGCCATAATAATGGAAGCTAACATTTATTAAGCTCTGTAGAATTGATTCATTTAATCTTTACAAGAACTTTATGGTGTAGGCATTATTATCCCCTTTTAAAGATGAGAAAAAGAAAGCATATTAGAGCTTCAAAGGCATGGGGAATCCTAGAACAAAGAAACCCATTTGTTTTGCTTAATCCAGCATTTTCCAAGTTTGATTTATCACAGAAGTGCATTTTTCCTTTTGCATAAAACCTAACAGTATCCTGTGAATCTGAGGACTACATACATTATTTGGGGAAATGTTATTCTAGTCTAACACCTTTATTTTGAGAAGAGTTGAGGCCCAGAATGCAAAGGACCTCATCTAATTCTGTCCCTAGCAGGTTGCAGAGTGAGGGCTAGAATGTGGCTTCCTGATACTTACTGAATTCATTTCCTTTTGTTTTCCTAATACTTTTTGTGTGCTCCCTTCTCTGTTCTCTCCTGCTTCCTTCCCTCCTCCTCTCTTCTGTCATGCTTTTCTATACCCTAGCAGTAGGTTTTGGGTAGGTTTTGCTGATGGGCCCCTCAGTTCATCTTCCTAGTAATCACTACCAAACAGTTAAAAGTCTCATAACAACTTTATGTTGCTGTAGCAGTAGGCAGGCTCTTGCTAGGATTACTCCTTGTGTATATTGTGGGCTGCACAAAGAAGTGAGTTGTCTGTTAAAGAGTCATAATAATACTGCCTAATTAAATGAAGACCTTTAGCTCTCTTCTACATTTCTCCCTTTCTCTAACAATATTTTTTCAAGCAACAGCTTGGAGAAGTAAGGGTCATTCTATATTTCTTGCTGATTTATCTATTTATTCTCTTAAAAGCCTCTCTGTGATAGTTTTATTTATCAAAAAAAGTTGTCTTCTGATCTCTTCCATAATCTGAAATTCATATTCTCCAGACTTTTGCTCATTCATTTAACACACGTATCTTTTTGAGTCCCTTCTCTGCAAAATACTGATGCCAGGCTCAATGAAGGTACAGTGGTGGCTGAGACATATTTTCTGTCCTCAAGGGTCTCAAAGCCTGAGAGACATATGTGTAAATATTAATAGACAATGGCTCTCCAAGTAGTTTCCCAGGAATTTATAAAGTTTTGTACTAAATTATGTAAAATGTGCTTTTCCTTAATTTAGTTATTCATTATCATATCGAAATTAGGACTAAATTTGTTTAGAAGATTCTAAATAGTATTCAGTGAAACCTTTTCTATGCGAAAGTTTGTCCTCATCTATAGGAAGCGATGATTTATAAAATGTAAACACAGCAACTGACAGACAACATAGTGAGCACTTAATAAATTATAGTCATGCTGCCCATTATTAGCAATAGTAATAAGAGTAGCAGCAGCGTTCGATTATTTAGATTTAAATGCGAGATTTTTTAACTTACTAGCTGTGTGACATTGAGCAAAGAGCATAATTTCTTTGAGTGTCATTTTGGGAGGACTGAAATCAAAGGAAGTTATTAGTCAAGTTTAAAGTGCTTCACAAGTGCTTTATGGTTTAAAAACTGTAAAATGTCATCCCTTTGCCTTGAATTTTACCTTTCAACATGCCAGGAAAATCTATTCTTTTGGTCAGATCATATGTGGAATGTTGTGCTTACATCATATTTATGATTGCCAGATGAAATGTAGGCTGCCCCAGTAAGTTAGAATTTCAGAAAAACAACAAATATTTTTTAAAGAGTATGTCCCATATATTAATAGTAAGAATTATTTGTTTATCTAAAATTCAAATTTAGTGGGGCATCTTGTATTTTTATTTCCTAAATCTGGTAACCCTAATTATGTTTTAATGGAGAAGTTTACAAACTGGAGCACAGTTCCTTGATTTATTATTATTGGTATCATCTTAGTGATGAGGAAATTGACTAAATGACCTCTATCATTCATTTCAAACTTGAGGATTTTAGAACTGTAATAAGAAAAGAAAGCATATGGAATCAAACTCCTTCCTACCTATGTGAATTTGGTTGTTAGCCTTGGTAAGCTTTAACTGTTATTATTATATAGACTTTTCTTTTTTGTAGGTCAGTTACAGTTGGCCTTCTGCATCCATGGGTTCTGCATCCATGGATTCAACCAACAGTGTATGGAAAATACTTGTAAAAAATTGCATCTGTACTGAATATATACAGACTTTTTTCTTGTTATTTTCTATACAATATGGTAATAAAAGCTATTTACATAGCATTTACATTGTATTAGGTATTATAAGAAATTTAGAAATGATTTAAATTATACCAAAGGATATACACAGTAGGCTGTATGTAAATACTATGCCATTTTATGTCAGGGACTTGTGCATCCTTAGATTTTGGTATCCGAAGGAGGTCCTAGAACCTCTCCCCCATGGATACTTTCAGTGCTTGTTTCTGAACCATATTATCAAATTTTAATTTTCTTTCTGCAAACAGAACAAATGCAGCATTCTAGTTCTTGACCTTTATGGCTTAGACTAAGTTATTTTTCTTGAAAGATTCCTCCTTTTCTTATTTGCACTCTATGAGATACTAACAGGAACTCCGGGCTGCCCAGTCATACTAGAGAATTTCACGCTGGTAGAAGGAGAGGTTTCAAAGTCTTAGTGTACTTCATTGTAAACCTGGAGGCTGTGGAAGGCTCTGGTTGCTGACCATATGCTTGTTGCTGTCTGAGGAAGAGTGAAAGCTAGTTGTTCTTTAAGTCACTGAAGGATCCGATTTAAAAGAAAGAAGGGGCCAGGCGTGGTGACTCACATCTGTAATCCCGGCACTTTGGGAGGCCGAGGTGGGTGGATCATGAGGTCAGGAGTTCTAGACCAGCCTGGCCAATATGGTGAAACCCCATCTCTACTAAAAATACAAAAATCATCTGGGCGTGGTGGCGTGTGCCTGTAGTCCCAGCTACTTGGGAGGCTGAGGCAGAATAATTGCTTGAGCCCAGGAGGTGGAGGTTGCAGTGAGCTGAGATTGTGCCACTGCACTCCAGCCTGGGTGACAGAGTGAGACTCCATCAAAATATATATATATATAATAAAGGAAGGAATTTGGGAATCTGAAATTAACATCTTTTCCTTCCCTCCTCTCTGGGAGTGGGAGAGGGACTTGGTCTGAGCCTGGGTGCAAACAGTTCTTATTCATTGAGCACCTCTACTCTGTTCTGGATAGTATGCTAGGCATCTCATCCTCACATAGCCATGGGAAATGGATACGCGTTATCCTCGTTATAATAGCTAAGGAAAGCTTCCCATATGACTACAGTAGCCTAAAAATCCACATCTGCCTGATTCCTAGGTCATGAGAGGGACGTCTGTCTGGCCACTGGAATTGCTGGTCAGTGCAAAGCTTGTTAGTAATCCCCAACTAGCCTATTTGTTTCTCCTGAGGCTTGTTTAAGATGGAAAGTTGCATAGATGTCTTTATCCCAGAGACATGATCCATCAGGGTTTGATGGCATGTTTAGCACATTCTTTTCTTTTCCAGCAGGAGGTGGCTTTCTACAAGTCACCAGGCCACCAAAATGGATCTGAGTTGTTATTTTTAAATGATTTGGAAAACATACTGATAGAAAATGTGTCTTAGGTTTGGGCCACTATGAGAGAATACCACAGACTAGGTGGCTTAAACAACAGAAATGTATTTCTCGCAGTTCTGGGACTGGGAAGCCTAAGATCAAGGCACTGACAGATTTGGTGTCTGGTCAGAGTTCTCTTCTTGGTTTGCAGATAGCTATTTTCTCATTGTATGTTAACATCGCAGATAATGAGAGAGAGAGAGAGAGAGAGAGAGAGAGAGAGAGAGAGGAAATGAGAGTGCATACATGCCCTCTGCTCTCTTCATCCCGTTGTAAAGGCACTAATCTCACTCATGAGGGCTACACCCTCATGATCTAATTACCACCCAAAGGCCCGCCTTTTAATACCATCACATTGGGAGTTAGAACGTCAGCATATGAATTAGAGAGACACATTCAGTCTACAGTAACATTTCATTGTTTAAGTTAGAATACAAAGCTACATTAAAAAACCACACAAAGCATGATCTACCTCCTCCCAGTAAGACATTGTTAACCTTCTGATGTAATGTCTTATAGATAGATAGAAACATGTTGGTAAAATATAAATGTAAGTTGTAGTTGTTGTTTTACAGAAACAGAATCACATGGAACAAAAACTATTTTGGAATCAACTCCTTTTTTTTTTTCACTCAACAATATGCCTTCCTAAAATGTATAGCCCAAAAAGAACTTAAATTTTTTTGGGGAGATGGTCAATATGTGTATAATAATTTTAAGAATTAAAACAAATTATGTGGTACAGATTTTATATTTTTAGACTATTATAGTCTATTATATTATATTATAGACTATTATAGTCTTTTCTGGAAATACTAGTTATGATTGGTAGTAATTCATATTCCATTTTTATTTAACTACATAAATCTTCCTAAAGAAACAAAACAGAAGAAAAAGTGGCACTGATAATGGCAGTTCTTTAGTCCTTGTGAATAGGATCCACAGCATTTTCTAACTTCCTATCTCTGGATGACTATTTTTTGGTGTGATTTTCTGACTTAAACTTGCCTTGATAGGTTACTTGGGTCTGTTAAAAGGCCAAATCAGCCCTTACGCTATGAAAGACACCAAAGCTATATGTCTTGACAGTTTCACAGAATGAAACAAATAATGTAGACCTCAAAAATTAAATTCCAGAAGAACATCTCACACCCACCTACCAGCCCAACATACTTTTTTTTTTTTTTTTTTAAGGCACCAGAACCATATTGCTGGAAAAATGTCCAGATGCTGTAATTGTCCTAGTGATGGGTAGTCCAAGTAAAAATGATGGCTTTACTGTAATGTACATATCAGTGTTAGCTCTGGGGATAAATTCCACAGAGATCTGTCTTGTTGAGGTCAGTTAGGGGAGCAGAGGAAATCACACCTGCTAGGTGATAAGAACTTTTCACTAACTAGGTGGTCCATTAATACATATTGCTGGTTATGTAAAAAGATAAGACTTTTCAGCTTCCTCCACCCAATTTTTTGCTAGTGGGAAGATTCCCTTTGCAGTAAGTGGCAATGGTAAAAACAGGTAGACGCATGTCCTGCTGCAGCAAATGCAGTGTAGTGGACGTAGCAATGAACATAGCTTGAAAGACTTGAATGTGAGCCCAACTTCGCTGCACACTGACCCATTAACCCTGGGCAAGTTCTTAGGCCTTGGTTTCTTCACCTATAAAGTAGAAATAATGATCCTTGGTTTCCTCAGTGGATTCCTGTGAAAATAATGCATAAGAAATGCTTTGCACGCTATAAATCACTCATAATAAAGAGAGCACTGACGTTTCTTGATAAAGGTACTCAGAAAAACCAGACACTGTGCTGAACATTTTGTATGCATTGTCTCTAATACTCAAACTCCCTAGGCAGTAGATACTGTTGCTATTTTCATTTTACAGAAAAGACAACTAATACTTAGAGGGGTTAAGTAATTTGCCAAGGCCACAAAGCTTGAAGTTAGCAGAGCAGAATGGAACACTGTATAATATTGATTATATAATTTTTTTTCTACGTTAGATACAGTGTTGTTGCATATATGATACCTTAGGAGCACAAGGAGCTTTTTAAAAAAATAGGAAATTTATTTATTTTATTTATTTCAACATTAGGAAAAATATATATGTAGCATATCAAACTCCTGATTTTAGGGCTGTGACTTCTTACGATTAGTGTAAATTTCCAAATATTCAATTTAAAGAAATAAGATAATTTGGAGATGAGTGTGAAATGATAGAACAGATGATGTGCACATATCATAAACTCAGAGGTGTGGTAGAAATGACTAAAGTCTGTGATACACTGGCCTATGTCAAGATGTAGCTAAATATACATAGCATTTACAAATGCTATGTATAAAAATATTTTGATGTTTTGTACACATGGGCTACAGAAGGGTGTAAAAATTCAAACGAGGACTTCTTTAAAACAAGCCTGAAGTATTTAACCCCAAATCAATGACAATAATATTAATAATAATAGCTATCAATGACAATAATATTAATAATAATAGCTATCATTTACTGGAGCTTACCGTGTTTTAGGCGTTATGCTAAGCACTTTATACTTATAGCCCAATTTAAATCTCAGGTTTTATTTGTGCTCAAAGAAGCTTCTTTGTGAGAAATGCCAAGAAGTTCTAGATCTGCAATGTCCAGTACAGTATCCCCTGGTTATGTGTGGCTCTTGAGTAGATGAAACTTGATGTGTCCAAATTGAGATGTGCTGTAAGTGTAAAATATGCACTGGATTTTGAAGATTTCATATGAAAAAGGAATATAAATATCTCAATAATTTTTATGTTGGTTACATGTTGAAATGATAATATTTTACAGTATTAAGCTAAATATAACTTAAAAATAATTTTGCCTGTTTATTTTTGTAAGGTACTGGAACTTTTAGAATCACATATGTGGCTCTTAATGCTGGCTCACATTATATTTTGCTTGGACAGTGCTGTTCTCAATGAGATACACAATGTACTATTGGCTTGTGTCTGAGCTGAACCCCCAGGTTAGAAGGTTTTCATCAGGGAAGCTGAGATTTTTTGTTTGGTTTAATTAGCAGGTGCAAATGCAAACGTAGCCAAGGTTCAACTACCCTGATTTTGCATTTGCATTTTCCTACAGTGGCCACCAGCTGCTGTAAAGCCAGAGAGGGACAAAGAAGTCTGCTTCTTGCTGCTTTAGAGCCATTAAACTCTTTAAGGCAGGACATTGCCCCTTGATTCAGTGTGCAAATAATGGAGTAGTGTAATTAGCATTCGTGTAGTTATACTGATGTAATCTCATGGGGTCAGGGTAAATTATTGTATTCTGGGGCTCAAGTGCATTCATGATGGGTAATTTATTCATAGGTGAGGTATAGCAGTTTCCTAAGAAGTCTCTCAGAGTGAGTTCTCAGAGTGAGCTGTGGAGGGTAACTATTATTGCAGCAATAGATGTTGTTAGAAGAGGTAAACACAGAGATGGAGAATGCAACTTGACCTCACTCTAGTACAAACACAAGTTTAAGCAGCCTTTATCCCAAGAAAAAACAAAAAACAAACAAACCAAAAAACTTGTGGCAAGTGACTATAGTTTTTTCCCATTTTTGCTTTCTACTTAGTCAAATGGCCTCAGCAAGAGTGTCTCTATGTAAACAAACAAGCAAAAGAAAACCACACACACGTTATTAAAGACGGATTCAAAATCTAAACACTTAAGATTGAATAGGCAAAGCCAGTGCCAGTGTTTCCCACATGCTCAGTCACTTTCAACAGAGTTTCTTATTCCTCCTTATGATCAGCTTCCTGGAGGTGGGAGAAAGAGTACTGGACTCAAAAGAGAACATTCAAGTTCAAGTGCTGTTAAATAAATTTCATAGCTTTCTGCCTTAGAAAACTCACTTGACTATTCCAAGCTGCATATTCCTAACCATCAAATTCCAAATATACTAAGGAATTTGAAAAACTCTGCTCTGTGGGCAATCGTGAAGCAATTTTATGACTAAAACCTCTCCAGGTCTCATGTCTTAGCTTTTGGCTTCTTATTATACTTTATCTTTGTAATGATAATGAGTTAAAATTTAGTGAAAGCCCGTGTGGGTCAGGACTGTGCTGCCTCCCTCTCATTCTTTTAAAGTTTTTCTACTATGAAATATTAAACACTTAGTAGAACACACACACACACACAGCTTAATGGATTACAGTAGTCTTCCCTTATTGGTTTCATTACCGATGCTTTCTCACAGTTACCGGCGGTCCACTGTGGTCTGAAACATTAAATGGGAAATTACAAAAATAATCAATTCAGAAGTCTTAAATTGCACACCATTCTCAGTAGTGTGATGAAGTCTCACATGACGAAATTGATAGGAACAGGAGGCAGGGAAATTCTAGGCAGAAGAGGACGGGTGCCTGGTGAGGGACCCACCCTTAAGCTGAAATGCCTGGAATCATGGCTCAAAGTGAGAACTTACATCCCTGTTTTCTTGCTTGAATATTGCCTTTTCCAAAACCACCCATAGCCCACCTCACCCCCTCATCCTGTGTCTATAAAAATCCCAGAATTCAACTGGCAGAGAGGAGGAGCTGCTGGAAGTCAGAGACTACAAGACTACGGTTGAATATCGGAGAGAAATGGCTTGACTTTAGAGGGACAGCTTCATGGCGTAGCTTTGGAGAGGAGTCCGGCTGGGGATGGCTGGACTTCAGGGGAAGATTACCTTCCAGCTCCATCCCCTTTTCAGCTCCCCTTCCTGCCAATAACCAGTTTCATTGGCCATAAAATCACCCACATTTACCATCTTCAATTCATTCATGTGACCTCATTCCTCCTGGATGCCGGACAAGAACTTGGGTGCCATGAGTGTGGGTGCAAAAGGCTGTCACACTGACCTTCCACTGAGCTTCGCTCCTGCTGGTGCCCAAAAACACTCACCCTGGCTCCTGCACTTGCTCACCTGCCCTCTCTGTCCCATGAGGGGTGGAGCAGTGAGTGAGTGGAGTTCCACTCTGGCCTGCACGGAAGCAGCCAGCTAGTTCCAGCTCCCATGTACTCCAGTTCCTGCCGGTGAAGGGGTCAGGACAATATCCTGCTTCAAATCATCCCTTTATTCAGCAACTCCATGTGTTTTACACTACCTACCCATTACCTACTGAGTAGCCATCTCAGTTATCAGATTGACAGATCGCAAGAAGGGTGAGTATAGTATAAGAAGTTATTTTCATAAAGAGAAAGAGAGAGAGACCACATTCACATAACCTTGATGACAGTATGTTGTTAGAATTATTTTATTAGTAGTTATTGTTGATCTCTTACTGTACCTGATTTACAAATTAAACTTTATCATAATTATGGGTGCATAGGAAAAAAGATAGCATGTGTGTATGTGTATATATATATGTGTGTATATATATAGGATTCAGTACTGTCTGAGGTATTAGGCAGCCACTGGAGCCCTTGGAACAAAACCCCAAGGGATAGGAAGGGACTATTGTACTATAAAGTGAATATCTGTGTAGCCATAATCCAGATCAAGAAACAGCATTGCCAGTAACCATGAACCCCCAAAATTATCTGATTCGGAGATAACTTCTTTTGTCCCTTAAAGGTAAACAGTATTCTCACTTTATGATAATCACTTTCTTGCTTTTCTTTGTATTTTTTAACATAAGAGTATATAACTGTAAACAGTATGATTTGGTTTTAGGTGTTTGGGAATTTTAAATGGCCAGACATATCCTGACCCTTGTGTCTTACTTCTTATACAGCATCATGTTTGTGACAATCACTCATGCTATTGTATATAGCTGTAGTGCTTTCATTTTTGTTGCTATTTTCCATTGTGTGAATACACAGTGATTGATTTGTCTAACCTATTGTTGATAAACTTTTGGGCTGTTTCTGATTTTGGCCTGTTAAAATAATGCTGCTGTGAACATTCTTGTTCATTTCCTTTGAGGCATATGAATATGCATTTCTGATGGGTATACTTCTAGGAGTGGAATTGCTAGGTCACAGGTTATGCGTGTTATTCAATTTAAGTAGATAATGCCCAATTTTCTGAAGGGTTCGTGTCAATTTATATCCCCACCAGCAGAATTTTGAGAGTTCCCTTGTTCAACATCCTTGCCAGCAGTTGGAATTCTCAGTTTAAGAAATCTAGCCAGTTCAGTGGTATGTATAGTGATATCTTTCTGTGGTTTTAATTGGCATTCCCCTGGTGGCTAATGAACTCATTTTCGTATGTCTGGTAGCCATTTGGATGTCTATTTTGGTAACATGACTTCTCAATTCTCTTCTTGATTTTACTACTAGGTTTTCTGTGTTTTTTTATTCTTATTGATTTATAGGACTTACTTTTGTATTCTAGACACAAGCTCTTTATTGGTTATAGGTGTTGCAAATATCTTGTCCTACTCTGTGACTTGCATTTTCATTCTCTGAATGAAGTCTTTTGATGAATGAATGCTTTTAATTTTGATTTAGTCAAATTTATCGAACTTTTGTTTTATGGCAGTGATGTGCTTCTCTCTTTAAAAAGTCTTCTCTACCCCGAGGTCATGAGGATTGACCTCTTACATTGTCTTCTCAAGGTTTTATTGTTTTGCCTCTCACATTTAGATCTACAATCCATCTAAAATTGATTTTTTTAGATGAGGTATAAGTTGAGGTCATGTTTCATTATTTCTATATGGATATCCAATTGTTCCAGAACCATATATTGCAAAAGCCTTCATTACCCTCTTACTCAACAGTGCCACTGTTTTAACCTTAGTTTTCCTGAAAGCAGATCCCTGAGGCAAAGGCTTGCCTAGAGGTTATTTGGCAACATGATTCAAAGTAGCAGAAGTATAAGACCAGTAATGAAATAAGAAAACAGAGAAAAAGCCAATACAAAGATATGTAATCCAACTGGCTACTGCTATAGGTCACTTGTGTTCAAATTTTTTAAGGAGCTGCACAAAATTCAAATCAGAACTCTCCACCTGGGATGAAAGGAAAAAACATTTTTCCATTGAATCTCCCACTAGCCAAGTCTGGCTCTAGGAGTGTTAATTCCTTTATACATCCAGGTTATACATGTTTGAGTGCTAAGCGTGGACAATCTATGTCTTGGCATTAGAGAAGCCCCTGGGCAGGAAGAAAAAGGTATGCAGTTTGGATCAACAGCTAGATGTACTGTGGTTGCACGTGTGTGATGCTGATCAAGGCCAACATGGCTGTTGCTGTAGCAGGCTAAAGTAAAAGATGGCTCTGAGAGGATTTTGATGTGGTTTATAAGACATTATTTTAGTTCATTGCTCTATTTATTTATGTTTGAGCCAATACCATACTTTATTGAAAATTGTAGCTCCGTACTAAGTTTTTATACCCAGTGGTGCAAGTTTTTTGACTTTGCCCTTTTTCAAGAGTGTTTTGGCTAATGTTGGTCCTTTGCATTTCTATGTACCTTCTAGAATCAGCTTATCAAATCTCACAAACCAAACCTTTCAGATTTTGATTAAAATTACTTTGAATCTGTAGATATATTTATTGAAAAGTGCTATCTTTACAACATTGAGATTTTCATGAACATAGTTTATCCTTCTTTAAATGCTCTAAGTAATGTTCTCTAACTTTTCTGCAGAGAAGTCTTGCATATTTTTGTTAGATATATTTTTAGATATTTATTTTTGTTTTAAAAAATTTTCTAACTTTTTCTGGTGTATAGAAAAAATTGATATATTAGTCCGGGCGCAGTGGCTCACGCCTGTAATCCCAGCACTTTGGGAGGCCGAGGTGGGTGGATCATGAGGTCAGGAGATCGAGACCATCCTGGCTAACACAGTGAAACCCCGTCTCCACTAAAAATACAAAAACAAAATTAGGCAGGTGTGGCAGCGGGCACCTGTAATCCCAGCTACTCAGGAGGCTGAGGCAGGAGAATGGTGTGAACCCGGGAGGCGCAGCTTGCAGTGAGCCGAGATCGCGCCACTGCACTCCAGCCTGGGTGACAGAGCGAGACTCCGTCTCAAAAAAAAAAAAAAATTGATATATTAATATCCATTAATATTGCAAAACTCACTGTTTCTTGTAATACTTTATGTATAGATAATTTTAAATTTCCTACATACATAAATATAGCATTCAAGATTAATGACAGTTTTGTTTCCTCCTTTCTAATCTCTGCATGATTTATATCTCTTTCTTACCTTGCTGTACTGGCTAGGATCACTTGCACAAATTGGAATAGAAGGATGACAGCTTGCATTCTTGCTGTACTCTCAGTCTCAATGGAAGAGTTTTAATGTTTTACTTTTAAGTTGATATAAGACTTCATAAAGATATTCTTTCTTAGATAAAGGAAATTACAATTCTATTCTTAATTTGCTAGAAGTTTTAAAAATAATGAATTGTGAATTTTATTAAATCCCTTTTCCACAAGTTGTAAAATATTTATGTATTTTCCCCATCCTGTAAATGTAATAAATTATATACATTTTTTGCTTTGTACTTTAGAATAATTTTAGATTTACAGAAGAGTTGAAAAGATGGTTCAGAATGTTCCCATATGCCTTCACCAGCTTCCTGTAATGTTAACATTTTACAAAAATCCTGGTATATTTATCAGAATTAAAATTAGATTTTTTTTTAAATTAAACCCAACTTGTGTTACTGAAATAGGCCTCAAAATTTGATGATAACTTTTACCCTTTTCATATATTTCTTAGTGTATAGTTTAAAAATATATTTTTGTTTATGAGTAAGGTAAGTATAAATATTGTTTTAATTTGCCTTTCATATTGTCCTAGACAGATTTTTGTATTAAGATATAATCAAATGCGCTTGGGGATTTTCCCTTTTTATCTATTTTTTGGAAGGGTTGGTGAAAGATTAGTGTTATATTTCCTCAAATGTTTGTAGAAATCTTTACAAGTAGGTTTTTAAATTCTGGATTCAATCTATTTAATAGTTATAGAACTATTCAGGTTTTTAATTATTTAAGAATTAGTGTTTTGTAACTTGTATTTTAAAATAATTTATCAATTTTCAGTGAGTATCTATAATTTTATGTTGGCTCTCTCCTTCTTATTGGCCCTATGAGGTATTCTGCCCTCTTTTCTCATGATGTGTAAATAATAAACTGCTTTGGTTATTTCATGTGTTTTGCTGAGTTGCCTCCTCTGTGTCACCTGACTAATACAACTCACCTAACTTCTTTCTCAGTCAAGGCTCCCCTGGAGAGTAGCTACTTGGTAGGAATAAACTGGGCACAAGTTAGACAAGAACTACAGAGGTATCTGCCAGAATAAACAAGTTTCCTCTGAGAGGGACACCTGGTCATGGATTGAACACTTAGGCTTTAGGCCATGTGCCCAGATAAAGAAGTATCCCATGAAAGGCACAGTGTAAACATTCACAGACACATCCCCTTGGGCCCTGTCAGGAAGGGCTACAGCTTATACCCACTCTCCAGAGACAGACCTCAAGACCAAATAAAATCAACAACAACAACAACACCATTGCACCACAATTTTCAAATTTATTGTCTTAAGTTACTCAAAATATACTTGTCTTTTTAATTGTCAGATATGCAGGTATATGCTCTTTTTTATTCCTGATATTTTGTAATCGTTTTTCTCTTTTTCTTCCTTAATCGTCTCATCAAAGACATCAGTTTTATTACTTTTTTCAGAAGAATAACATGTCTTTGTTGATCTTCTTTACTGAATGTTTATTTCATTGATTTTGCTATTATTTAAAAATTTTTCCTTCTCTTAGGGTTTATACTGCTTTTCTTTTTTTTATAATTTCATTTTTTATTTTAGATTTGGGGGTACATGTGCAGGTTTGTAACATGAGTATACTGTGTGATGCAGAGGTTTGGAGTATGACTGAACTCATCACCCAGGAAGTGAGCACAGTATCCAACAATTAGTTTTTTTGCTTTTTTTTTTTTTTTTTTTTTGAGACGGAGTCTCGCTCTGTCACCCAGGCTGGAGTGCAGTGGCGCGATCTCAGTTCACTGCAAACTCCACCTCCCGGGTTCACACCATTCTGCCTCAGCCTCCTGAGTAGCTGGGACTACAGGCTCCCGCCACCATGCCCAGCTAATTTTGTTTTTGTATTTTCAGTAGAGACAGTGTTTCACCATGTTAGCCAGGATGGTCTTGAACTCCTGACCTTGTGATCCGCCCACTTCGGCCTCCCAAAGTGCTGGGATTACAGGCATAAGCCACCGCACCCAGCCCAACAGTTAGTTTTTTAACTTTTGTCCTTGTCCCTTGTTCACCCCTTTAATAGTTCCCAGTATCCATTGTTGACATCTTAATATCCATGAATACCCAATATTTAACTCCCACTTATAAGTGAGAACATGTGGTATTTGGTTTTCTGTTCCTATGTTAATTTGCTTAGGATAATGGCATTCAGCTGCATCCATGTTGCAACAAAGGACATGATTTTATTCCTTTTTATGGCTGCATAGTAGTAGTCCATGGTGTATATGTACCATATTTTGTTTATCCAGTCCTCCACTGATGGGTACCTAGGTCGATTCCATGTCTTCACTATTATGAATAGTGCGATGATGAATGTAGTGCACGTGTCTTTCTGATAGAACAATTTATTTTCTTTTGAGTATATACCCAGTAATGTAATTGCTGAACCAAATGGTAGTTCTGTTTTGAGTTCTTTGAGAAATCTCCAAGCTGCTTTCCACAGTGGCTGTACTCATTTACTGCCACCAACAGTGTGTAAGCATTCCCTTTTCTCCACAGCCTTGACAGCATCTGTTGTTTTTTGACTTTTTAACATTCTGAATGCTGTGAGGTGGTATCATATTGTGGTTGTGATTTGCATTTCCATGATTATTAGTAATGTTCAGCATTTTTTTACATGTTTGCTGGCTATTTGAGTGTCTTCTTTTGAAAAATGTCCATGTCTTTTGCCCACTTTTTAATGTGGTTGTTTTTTGCTTGTTGAATTATTTAAGTTCCTTATAGACTCTGGATATTAGACCTTTTTCAGATACATAGTTTGAGAGCATTTTCCCCATTCTGTAGGCTGTTTACTCTGTTGATAGCTTATTTTACTGTGCAGAGGCCCATTATTTTAGTTAGATCCTACTTGTCAATTTTTGTATCTGTTGCAATTGCTTTTGAGGTCTTAATCATAAATTCTTTCCCAAGACCAATGTCCAGAATGGTATCTCCTTGGTTTTCTTCTAGGATTCTTAGAGTTTGAGGTCTTACCTCTAAATCTTTGAGCTATCTTGAGTTAATTTTTCTATATGGCGAAAGGTAGAGATCCAGTTTCAATCTTCTGCATATGGCTAACCATCTATCCCAGTACCATCTATTAAATAGGGAGTCCTTTCCCCACTGGTTATTTTTGTTGACTTTGTTGAAGATCAGATGGCTATAGCTGTGTGGCTTTATTTTTGGGTTCTCTATTCTGTTCCATTGGTCTGTCTTTTTGTACCAGTACCGTGCTGTTTTGGTTACTGTAGCATTATTGTTTGGTTTGAAGTAGGTTAATGTGATGTCTCTGGCTTTGTTGTTTTTGCTTAGGATTGCTTTAGCTATTCAAGCTCTTTTTTGGTTCTGTATGAATTGTAGAAATTTTTTTTCTATTTATGTGAAAAATGTCATTGGTATATTGATAGGAATAGCGTTGCATCTGTGAATTGCTTTGGGTAGTATGGCCATTTTAGTGATATTGATTTTTCCTATCCATGAGCATGGAATGCTTTTCCATTTGTGTGATCCATGATTTCTTTCAGTAGTATTTTGTAGTTCTCCTTGTAGAGATCTTGTATTTCTAGGTATTTTATTTTGGCATGTGGCTATTGTGAATGAAATTGTGTCCTTGATTTGGCTCTCAGCTGACATTATTGGTATATAGAAATGCTGCTAATTTTTGTACACTGATTTTGTATTCTGAAACTTCACTGAAGTCAGTTCCAGGAGTCTTGACAGAGTTTCTAGGATCTTATAGGTATAGAATTGTGTCATCAGCAAAGAGAGATCATTTGACCTCTCTTCCTATTTGGATGGCTTTTATTTCTTTCTCTTGCCTGATTGCTCTGGCTAGGACTTCCAGTACTATATTGAATTAAAGTGGTGAGAGTGGGCATCCTTGTTTTTTCCCAGTTCTCAAAAAGAATGCTTCCAGCTTTTTCCCATTCAGGATGGTGTTGGCTGTGGGTTTGTCACAGATGGATCTTATTATTTATTATTTTTATTTATTTATTTATTTATTTATTTATTTATTTATTTTTATTTTTGAGGTGGAGTCTCACTCTGTCGCCCAGGCTGGAGTGCAGTGGTGCAATCTCGGCTCACTGCAAGCTCTGCCTGCCAGGTTCACACCATTCTCCTCCCTCAGCCTCCCGAGTAGCTGGGACTACAGGTGTCTGCCACCATGCCCAGCTAATTTTGTTTTTGTATTTTTAGTAGAGACGGGGTTTCACCGTGTTAGCCAGGATGATCTCCATCTCCTGACCTCGTGATCCACCTGCCTCAGCCTCCCAAAGTGCTGGGATTACAGGGTGAGCTGCCGTGCCCGGCCCGGATCTCATTATTTGGAGGTGTATACCATCAATCTCTAATTTGTTGAGGGTTTATCATGAAGAGATGCTTGATTTTAGTGAAGGCTTTTACTACAACTATTGAGATGTTTATATGGTTTTTGTTTTTAATTCTGTTTATGTGGAGAATCATGTTCATTAATTTGCATGTTTGCATTGATTTGACTTTTTGATGTGCTGCTGGATTTGGTTTGTTGAGAATTTTTGCATCTGTGTTCATAAGGATATTGGCTTGTATTTTTCTTTTTTCATTGTGTCTTTGCTGGCTTTGTAGAATGAGTTAGAGAGGGGTCCCTCCTCCTCCTATTTTGGAAATAGTTTCAGTAGAATTGATACCAGCTGTTATTTGTAAGTCTGGTGGAATGCAGCTGTAAATCTACCTGGTCCAGGGCTTTTTTTCAGAACTCAGTATTTGTCTATTCAGTGTTTCAATTCCTTCCTGATTAAATCTTGGGAGGTTGCGTGTTTCCAGGAATTTATCCATTTTTCCTAGATTTTCTAGTTTGTGTTCGTAGAAGTGTTTGTAATAGTCTCTGAGGATCTTTTGTATTTCTGCAAGAACAGTTGCATTGTTACCTTTGTAATTTCTGCTTGTGCTTATTTGGATCTTCTCTCTCTCTCTCTCTCCCTGTTCATTTACATAGCAATCTATTAATCTTGTTTACCCTTTCAAAAAAAAAGAAACTACTTTGGGTTTTATTGATTCTTGATATGGGTTTTTAGGTATCAATTCTGTTCAATTTTGCTCTAACTTTAGTTATTTCTTTTCTTCTGCCATCTTTGGGGTTTATTTCTTGCTTTTCTAGTTCCTATAGGTGTGATGTTAGATCATTAGTTTGAGATCTTTCTAACTCTTTGAGGTAGGCATTTGGCACTTATATTGCTTTTGTTGATCCAGCCTCTCATGATGGATGCTTATCTCATCGGTTTGTGTTTTTTTTGGTAATGTATGTATGAAAGCTATAATTCTCCCTCTAAATACATCTTTGGCTGAATCTCAAATATTTTGGTAAGTAGCATTTCAATTATTATTCAGTCAATATATTTTCCAATTTCTATTTTGATGTCTTCTTTAATCCGTCTATTGTTTAAAGTTTATTTCTTAATTTACAAACATGATGTTTTCTAGTGACTTTTGCTCCTTGCATAATTGAAATGGAGTCAGAAAAACATTCTGTGTACTTTCAATCTGCTAAAATGTGTGCTACCTTTATGGCCAGACATGTTTGGTTTTTGTAAATGTTCCATGTGTGCTTGAAAAGAGTATATGGTCTATAGTTGTTGAGTACAGTATTCTACATATGTTCTTTGGACAATGATAACTTCTTCTGCTGCTCAAATTTTCTGTATCTTCACAGACTTTTTGTCTACTTGTTTTGTCAATTACTGAGAGAGGTGTATTTAAATTTACTCTGAGTGTCAATTGGTCTATTTCTCCTTATAATTATATTGACTTTTTTTTTTTTTTTTTTTTTTTGAGACAGAATTTTGCTCTTATCACCCAGGCTGGAAAGCAATGGCACGATCTCAGCTCACTGCAACCTTTGCCTCCCAGGTTCCAGTGATTCTTGTGCCTCAGCCTCCTGAGTGGCTGGGATTACAGTAGCCACCATGCCCAGATAATTTTTGTATTTTTAATAGAGAGAGGGTTTCACCATGTTGGCCAGGCTGGTCTCGAAATCCTGACCTCAGGTGCTCTGCCTGCCTTGGCCTCCCAAAGTACTGGAATTACAGGCATGAGCCACTGCACCTGGCCAATTTTTACCTGAAATATTCTGACACCATATTATTAGGTATATATTCTTTGTGGGTTACATTTTTGGCTTTAATGTAACCAATCTTTTCTGGGAAGTCTGTGGAGAAAAAACTACAAGTGGATCATGCAGATTCCTCCTATATTTGCAGCTGGGGCTCTACACATTCTTGCAAGCCCACACTTGGCCTTTACCAATTTATGAACAATTCCAGCTAAATTAGTTTATTGGTGTCTGACTGTGTCCGTTCCAGGTAAGCACATATTAGCAGCCTGTCCTCCTCTGCATACACCTCTGTCCTTTGATTTTGGGCTTATTGCTGCTTCATGATTTCAGCTCTCTGAAAGTTTAAAGAAAAGTTATTAATTTGCAGTTTTTATGACTGTATATCCCAAACAAACCAGAAGTTCATTGGGGTGCTTAAATCTGTAGATTGATCTCTTTCTTCAGTTTTAGAAAATCCTCAGCCATTATCTTTTCAAATATTTCTTCTACTTGATACTCTCTTTCTCTGCTTCTTCTGGAACTTCAATAAATATACCATGTTAGGTCTTCTCATTATGTTATTTATATATCTTACACTTTCTTCTGTATTTCAATACTGTTGTCTTTCCCTACATAATTCTAAATAATGTCTTCTGACCTATTAACCAATTCTCTATTTGAGAAAATTCTTAAAATTATTTTACTAATTTGCTGTTAAACAGAACTAGTGATGTTTTAATGTCATTGATTGCCTTTCCATTTGTGGATTTTTGTAGATCAAATTGGAAATTTTGTTGGTAGTTGATAGTTCTTTGATAAAAATTTTAAGTTCACATATTTTTCTTCGTAAGTATTATCATCATGGGTGTTCACACTCTGGGTCTGGTAATATTAACTATTTGGAGTACCTCTAAATGTTTTCTTGTTTGTTATTTGTGTTGGTCCTGATTCATATCAACAGCTCTTTGACTGCCTGGTCTGCTTTTATTGTGTGCTGGACATTGCATTTGAAAATATGTTAGTAAAATGATATGAGGCTGGGATGATGTTATTTTGCTCCTGAAAGGATTTTCATTTGCTTTGCCAGGTGCCTCTGATCATCCACAATCTGGAGTCTCCAACTTGTGTCTGGGCTAGAAATTTTCTAGGCCACCTGGACATCTTGAATACAGACTGTAGTCCATGGGATACTGCT
Organism: Homo sapiens; assembly: GCF_000001405.40. Taxonomy (NCBI): domain Eukaryota; kingdom Metazoa; phylum Chordata; class Mammalia; order Primates; family Hominidae; genus Homo; species Homo sapiens. Next base: position 155,552,484 of record NC_000005.10, read on the forward strand.
TTATTTCTGGTTTCCCCTTACTCCTAGGATGTAACTCTTTGGGGCACATATCCTAAGCATAGGTGGCTTACTAGATTCTCCACTCTTGGCGGACTTTGGATCACATGTTTGTCCCCCTAATGCTGAAGAGCTGTCAAAAGTGCTGTTCATCCTATCAGCTGTCTCTTCAAGGTAGAAAAATGCCCCCTGGGCAAGTTCAAATGCTGGGCTCAACTTTCTAGATTTCTATGTTCTCTTGAATCTTGGCTCTTTAAAAATAATTCTTTATGATACTGTTGGTTCTTTAGAAGATGTCCTTCAGAACATGTCTTTTATATGTTTTCCAGTGATTTTAGTAATCTGGACATCTGAGATTACTTTAAATGAGCAAGTCTGCCTTCACTGAATACAGACATCTGGAATTTTTTCAAAATCTTGGCAAGGTATATATTACTATCCCTATTTTACAACTAAAGGAATGAATCTCTTGGATTTCAAAAGTATTCTTTTTAATGTTATGTGATGCTTCCCTATATTCTCCTCCATCTTTGTGTGTCATGTTGAGAAGAGTTTTGGGTCCACCAAATTTGAGAAAATGAATGCTGTTTAGGAATTGTTCGGGAATATTTGCCAGAGTGGATGAGTGGTATGCCTATATAATGTTGTTTTGAAACGCATTTGTTTGGGGTGAGCACATTAAGTAATTTAGGTGCTTTTTACTCAAAGACATATTGTGTCTCCTGTATTCTAGACTGGGGTTATTGAGCCCTGGCTCCCTCTTATTCAGTTGTGAATTTTTCATATTCTCACACAAGGAGTATATTAATTCCTTATATTCATATTTATATTTACTTATGTAATACTTTCAAAAGTATATGTCACTTTTGATACCTCTCACAATCCTGTGAGAGAAATAGGATGGAATAACCATCTTACCTATGAGAAAAAATTTCAGAGTGAAAAACCTGGTCTCAGTGCTATGTATCTTTAGTCTCAGCCACTTAGGAAGCTGAGACTGAAGGATAACTTGAGCCCAAGTGTTGAAGTCTAAGTCCAGTCTTGGCATCATGGTGAGACTCTGCCTCTAAAGAGAGAGAGAGAGAGAGAGAGAGAGAGAGAGAGAAAGAAAACTCAAAGAAGTTAATTGCTAAGGGCCACACGGCTAGCAGTGGCAGATTTAAAAACTGGCCCAGTGATATTTTTCTTTTCTGTTAAATGAATGAATTATGTATGTTCTTTACAACCTGTGTGTTAAGAGTGCCATCTTTCCACTAATACATAAATATAATTTCTTTGTGACATGTGGTATTACAGAGAGGCTAAGATGTAAGACTTTGAAGATTAACCCATATTTAAATCTCTGCTGTGCTACTAACCAGCCACTGGGATTTGGGCAAGTATTATAGCCACACTATGCCTCAGTACCTTTATCTGGAAAACTGGGATAAAAATGCTTAACCCAGGTTTTGTTATGAGGACTAAATGAAACAATGGTTGTAAAATTTTTGTGCAGTCTGGGATGCAGAAAGTACTTAAATAGTAGTTGTTAGTATTGCTACTTTGTTATTAATAAAGATTATGATCTATATTCTGGCATTACGAACGAGATTTTGCTTTCTTAATTTAGAATCAAAAGTGAATTCTTTGTTTGGCCTTATTTATAGAATTCCAAAAAGCTAAAAATTTTCTTTGCCCTCTTGTGGAAAATAGTAACCGTGTAAGTACAGATGTCCAGAATGTTGAGCAGTGTTTTTGCTTCCAGGGAATCTCATGCTACATTTGGAGCTTGAAGTTAGGACATTTTGGGAACTGTAATTTGGAAGATCTGTAAGAAAGAAAAATAAAGCCTGGAACATTGATAGATTGAGTGGGCTGGTTTATTTCACTTCTCATTAAATATTTTTCCTCTCTTTTTAATCAGTCATCTTAATTTCCAGCTATGCGCTAGTAATGGTGCCGTTAATAGGTTTTAACACTTCAACTCATCTTGGTATCAGGAAGCAAAAAGGAGTAATCCTTGTAGAGAGGAATGGGGAAAACCTTTCTGTTATTTAGGAGTCAAGAAGTTGAATTTGGGAAAGAAAAGGAAAGGCCTATTTTCACGCCTCAAACAGAACCAAAGGTACTATAAAACTTAGTAAGGCACATTCTGACATTCTAAACATTCCTATGACCTTAGGTAACATCAAAGAATTTCAGTGTGACGAACAGACTTGAACATAGACCTGTGACCCTCATCTCCCAGTGTTCATGCCCTTGCATAATCCCTACCCTCAAGTGTGAGCAGGACCTGTAGGATGCTTCTAAGTAATATCCCAAAGAGGGTGGAATATGTCACGCCTATGATTATACTACCCATATGGCTGAGGTGATGAGTTGGCACTCCTATGATTATGTTATATCATATGACACTTAGTTTTGACTTCTTTATTACTGGCTGAGTTTGAAGAAACAAGTTGCCATGAGTCCTACAGCCAAGAAAACTTCTCAAAACCAACAAAATTAATTCCAACAACTTAAACGAGATTTCCAATCCCAGTGTCAAATGACTTTCTCCCAAAGTTCTTCAAATAGATCTAAATATTATTTTTTCTTAACATTAGGTCTCTAAATTATCAGGAATTTTTATATATAATGTGAAATAATTTTGATTTTATGTTTTTTTTTCAAGTGGAAACACTATTAAATAATTTTGCTTTTCCTTCAGATTCGTGATATCTTGTTTCTTATATTCTGAGTTGTCAAATGCTTTAGTCTGTTTCTAGATTCTCTGTACTCTTCATTGATGTGTTTGTCTATCCATACACTAATGCCATACACCACATTGTTATACTCTTACAGGAATTCTGTTTGATTTGATTGTAATGGTCTTGAATTTTGCAGATTAATTCAGAGGAAATTTTTACATCTAATATATTTAATGTTCCCAACTACAAATGTGATTATCTCTCCATCATTTGCTTAGATCTTTTCTGTGACTTTCACCAACATTTCAAAATTTTCTCCACAAAATACTCAACATGTATTATTCGGTCCATTTTTTGACTTATACAGTTTTATTATTGCTGTGATGGTAGCAATTTTCCTTTTATGTTAATTCTTTAATTATTAACAATATACAAATATTTATTGATTTTTGTAGTTGACTCTATATCCAATAACCATGCTGAATCATCTTATATGTTCTGGTAGTTTGATTTTTTTGTGGGGGGATTTTCTGTATACACAACTTATTAGCAAATGACAAAACTTTCTAATATTTATATATACCAATTATTTTCCATATCTTATTCCATTGGTTAAGATCTTCAGTAAAATAATGACAGAAGTTAAAATGGGAGTCTTCATCTTGTATCTATAATGGGAATGCTCCTAAAGTTTCATCATTAAATATTACATTTACTGTAGGATTTATCAGAAGAAAAATTGTTCTTGCTATTCCTTGTTTGGTAAAAACTTTTAATAGTAAAATGTGTTATTAAGAATATCTAATGATTTTTCTGCGTGCATTGAGATCACCATGTTTTTCACAATTGATTATATATAAGGGTAGCAAATTAGCATGGTGATTTTTTTAATATTATGACTTTGAAACAATGTTGGGACAAACCCTACCTAGACATGATTTATTATATTTAAAATACGGCTGGACTCAACTAATGGGTATTTTACTTGGGAATTCTACATCCATGTTTATAAATTAAATCGGTTAATAATTCTATTTGCTTATACTATCCCTTTTTAGTTTTGATGGAAAAAAAGAAGTTCTAGTCTCATAAACTGAGTTGGGCAGTTGCCTTTTTTTCTGTTATTTGAAACAATTTACATAAATATAATTTAAATGTTCTTTGAACATTTGTTAAATTTCTTTGTAAAACTGTCTTTGCCTGGAATCTTCATGAGAGAGAAATTTTAAAAATATTTCTAATTGTTTGAGGTTGGAAGGAAAAATTTGCTGTGTCAGCTTAGTCTGCTTTTCTGAAAATAAATCCCTTTTTAAAAATATATATTATATTTTTTTCCACCAATGGTAAACAAAGATGCCTCTTTGTGAGCCTTTAAAATTTCAAGTTAAAAAAAAAAGACCCAATCAATAGAGCATTTAGGGGATGATCTGTCTATATTCAGTGGCCTGTGTTTGACGTCAGGAAACTTTACTCTCCCTTCAAAGTGGGTACTGTCATTTGACCCCCACCCAAATGTTGTGTACCATCATTCCTGGCCTGTGTAATAACCAATAATCAGAGCTGTCATTTAGTGTACCTTCTTGCTACCCTTATAATCAATAAGAACCTTATGAGAAAATTTTTTTGTTTGTATTTTACACAAAAAGAAAAAAGGTGATTAGAGAAATGAAATAAATTGGCTAGGGTTACTTGGCTGAGGAAGTGACAGAGGAGAGTTGTGAAACCATGTGTATCTGATTCATTACATCATGGCTGGCATTTCAGAAATATTTGCTGTTTCCTTTAATCCTTGCTTTAATGCACAGTCTCCAGCTAAAGACTTATTTGCCAATCCAAATTTCCCTCAAGTTTAATTTGCTTTTATTAACTCCTTTCATAATCTCTTTGGCAAAAACAATGTTTGCAGTGTTTTGTTTGGGCAAAAACAGTGTTAATATTCTCCATGCTGTTCCTGTTTCTTTTACTTTCTCCCCTAAGTTATCTGTGTATAGTCTTTCATTTGTTTGGCTGGGTTTATTAACACAGTCTCAACAGATGCATTTAGTTGAACAAAGAATATGAATAATATTTTTCTTTAATTGCCATTAACTGATCATACAACTGAATAAAGCCTTTTAGTCAAAATGTCAGAACCATCAGAAAAACTTGTTTCATTGTTTCTGTGTTCCAGTAGACCTCTGCTTCAGCACATGAGAGAGACAAGATTAGTGGGGGCTTTGAAAAGCACTCTGTTTGTATCAGAATGACTTGATCGTGAATTCCAGCTTCACCATTTTTAATGGGAGACAAAGGGAACTTAGCAAATTGCACTGTTTGACATACTTCTCCCCCTTTTTTATTTTTAGAGATATAATTCACATACCATGAAATTCACCATTTAAAAAGTGCTATTTAATGCTTTTGGGTATATTCACAAAGTTGTACAACAATCACTACTATCTAATTCCAGAACATTTTTATCACCCCAAAAAGAAATCTGTACCTGTTAGCAGTCACCCCCCATACCACTTTCCTCTCAACCCCTGGCAACCACGATTCTACTTCCTCTATCTATGAGTTTGACTACCATAAGTACGTCATGTCAGTGGGATCACATAGTATTTGTCCTTTCATGATTGCCTTATTTCACTTGGCATAATGTCCTCAAGGTTCATCCATGTTGTAGCATATATTAATACTTCTTTCCTTTTAATGACTGAATAGCATTTCATTGTATGAAGACCACATATTAGTTATCCATTCATCAGTTGATGAACATCTATGTTCCTTCCATTTTTGGCTATTACAAGTAATGCTGCTATGAACATTGATGTACAAGTTTTTGTGTGAACATGTTTTAATTTCTCTTGAGTATATACCTATGAGTGAAATTGCTGTATCACATGGTAGCTCTATGTTCAAGTTTGTGGGGAACAGCCAGACTGTTGTCCACAGTGGCTGCATCATTTTATATTTCCATTAGAAATGTAGGAAGGTTAAAATTACTTCATATCCTCACCAACACTTGCTAGTTTTCTTCCTTTTTTTAGAGATGGGGGGTCTTATATGTTGCCCGGGGTGGTCTCAAACTCCTGGCTCGAGTGATCCTCCTGCCTCAACCTCCCAAAGTGCTGGGATTACAAGCATGAGCCACCATGCCTGGGTCTTCTTTTTTTTTTTTTGATTATGGCTATCTTAGTGGGTTTTAAGTGGCATCTCATAGTTTTGATTTGCATTTCATTAATGACTAATGATTTTGAGCATTTTTTCTTGCGCTTATTGACCATTTATATATCTTACTTGGAGAAATGTCTATTGAAATCCTTTGCCCATTCTTAAATTGAATTGTTTGTCCATTATTGTTATAAGGGTTATTCTATATTCTGGATACTAGTTCCTTAACAGATATATGAGTTGCAAATATTTATTTCCATTTGTGAGTTGAATTTTTACGTTCTTGATAACTGATGCACTTAGATGCAATCTTATTTAATCTAGTAGTATCTTTATGAAGTAGGCAATGTTAGATCCATTTTTAGGCTGAGGAAACAGAGTCAGAGAGGTTATATGGCTTGCTGAAGATCACACACTAGTAGGAGGCAGAAGGCAGATTTAAGCCTAATTTTTGGTTCAATGCCCATAAGCTTGCTAACCATGCCTACTGCCTCCTTACAAGATAGCAATGCAAGTCATGCTCCAAAGCAGTACATGATTCATGACCAACCAAGACATATAGATACAGCTATAGGTTCAGACAATGTATACACGTGTAGAGGCCAAAGAAATCTAAGGAAATTTCAGAGAATCAGAGTTTCAAAAGGTTAGGTAGATCGGAACATGGAGCATTCTGAGAATATTGTTAGCAAGGGCCCTAAAGTGGGAGCACAAAGTTGATTCAAAGAACAATAAATAAACCCCTGGGGCTGAAGTGGAGGATATTATAGGTAACAGTGAGAGATGAGACTAGAAAAGTAATTTATGTCAGATGATGGAGTATATAGGTGTTTATTATTATTATTATTAGCTGATGTTAGGCAATGATAAACCATGGAAGGCTTTCAAAATGTAGAATTTTAGGGCAATTAACCTGGCAGAGTAGATGAATGGACAGAAGGACTAGAAGATGACGACACTGTTTGAAACTGAATGCAGATTTTTATAAAATGATAAAAGCCTAGTAGAAATGGTGGGGTGAAAAATGAAAAAGTATGAAAAGACACAAGAAATGTTTCAAAGAAATAATCTTTAAGTCGTGATGAGTTGCTACATGTATAAAGGAATCTACATGCGAATTCTACAAGATAAATATGGAGTAATAATAATAAAAATAATGCCGGACATTGAACGGGTATTTTTTATTTGCCAGGGGAAAGAAAAACACCATGAACAATTTTAGTCTTGATGAACAGGTAGAGATTTAGTTGGAGTGGGGACAGTCAAGGTGGAGAAAAGGTTATGCTAAGCACTTTGAATGTGTTTTTTTTTTGAGACGGAATCTCGCTCTGTCACCCAGGCTGGAGTGCAGTGGCGCGAGCTCGGCTGACTGCAACCTCCACCTCCCAGGTTCACGTCATTCTCCTGCCTCAGCCTCCCAAGTAGCTGGGACTACAGGCGCCCGCCACCATGCCCGGCTAATTTTTTTGTATCTCCCGACCTCTTGATCTACCAGCCTCGGCCTCCCAAAGTGATGGAATTACAGGCGTGAGCCACTACGCCCGGCCTGAATGTGTTATGTTATTTAATCCCCACAGCAACTCTTTTTTGCAGATGAGAAACATGGGGCTCAGGGAGGTCCAGCAACTTGGTCCGAGTTGAAGAGTTAATAAGATATGAAGTAAGCCCTCAAGCCCAGACCTGTTATAATACAGAGCAAAGAATCAAAAAAAGCTTTGGGTTTTTAATCTTGAAAAACTGGGAGTATACTAAAATCTCTAACTGAAATAGAGTTCAGGCATTTAAAAGAAACTTGAGGAAGAAGGTGTTTTGTCTTGGGCTTCAATTGAAGAAGGGCCATTTACTTGGGAATGTTTAAAACAAAGGGAGAAAGAAAAAGGGAGGAAGGCAAGGGGTGAGAGAGAAATAGGAAGGGAAGGGAGAGAGAATCTATAGTATGTGCAAAGTAGGAGGTTGAAGCCATGAGGTGAATAGTCATCAAGGTAGAATGGGCAGCGTGAAGAAGAAAATGCTGGATGTTAAGGAAGGTGGAGGGGAGAAGCAAGAAGAAGAAGAAGAAGAAGAAGGAGAAGGAGGAGGAGGAGGAGGAGGAGGAGGAGGAGGAGGAAAGAAGAAGAGAAGAAGAAGAAGAAGAGGAAGAGGAGGAAGATGATGAATGGTCAGAGAAGTAACAGGAGAACATGAAGGTGGAGTTAAAGAGAGGGTGTGTCAGAAAGTCAAGAACAGCAAAGACTGAGAAAGGCAATGCCGCATGGTGTCTTGTGGTGCTTTTGCAAACCTCTTTCAGAGAGAAGTAAGTGATGTAGGTGCAGTCCAGGGACTTGAGGTATTAGAAAGTGAATAGAAAAATGTGGGCCATATGGGTGGAGGATTTAATTAAATCAGTTGGGCAGTGTTTGGAAGGAAAGAGCACTGAAGTTAGAGGAACACCAGGGTCTAGAGATTAGTCTGGATCTGATGGAATTATGTGTATTTTTGAAGACAGAAGGAAGAAATACAGGTGGAGGGATCAAACAAAAGCAGCTTTAAGTGAAAGAGATGCATTTCTAATCGTACTAAGGAAGCTACTAGTGGAAAGTTTCCATTGTTGTTTTTTAAAGTCAAAAGCTCATGTTTATTTTCAGGCAGTGTAATAGGGTTTTCTCTCAACAGCCCTACCAGGTAAATCCTATTCGTTCTTTTTCAAGAGAAAATGATCCTTGTTTTGGAGGCATTGGGCCATTCTTCTATCCCCGAAATCACACAAAGTGGGTGATTACCCATGAGCTTACATTTAAGAGCAGTTCTTTCCATGAATTTTACTCACAGGAATTTGGGTCACAAAAGTGGAGTAGTATCATTGCTAATAAAAATAGCTAACAGTTCTATTTGCCATGTGCCTGGCACTTTTCTAAGTGTTCTATGTGTATTAACTCATTTAATTCTCCCAGCCACTCTAGACAAAGATACTAGTACAGGTGAGGAAACTGAGACTCAGAGAAGTTAAGTAACCCAAAATGATGGTGGTGGTGGTGGTGGTGGTGGTGGTGTCAGAAATGAAGTATAGACAAGTGAGTTGCACCAATGTTTGTACTCTTCAATTCTACACTAGACTGCCTTAGTATTGTGTTGTCCTTTAGGATTTCCAAAGCACATATTTTATTTCTTTGATTCACAACTAACCATGTGGGATACGTTTACACTTTTTAGCAAATTCGAAACTGAGACACAGGAAAGTTAACACTCTGTTAGCAGCAAGTAAGAGATTGAATATGAAATGATATCCAGGTCTTCTTACTCTTAGATTTGTGTGTTTCTCCCTAGAGGATGACATAGGATAAAGGCGGTCAAGTCTGCAAATCAGAGATGTGGTGACCCATCCCACCTCTGAACTCACTGGCTATGTGATCACAGTCAAGTCCCTTGCCTAATCCAGCTCATGGTTTTCTTCTCTGTCAAATGAAGGGGTGAGATTTCATGATACTCTGGCTCTAGGACAATGAGGCCCAGCATAAACATGATGCCAGCCATGTATGTAATTTCCAGTTTTTCAGTAGCCACATTAAAAAGGTAAAATGCTATTAAGTGAAATTAATGTTATTGCATATATAATTTAACCCAGTTTATCCAATATATGATTATTTCAACATGAAATCAATATAAAAATTATCACATTCTGGTTTTAAGTCTTCCAAATTCGGTGTATATTTTATACACTCAACACATCTCAATTTGGACTAGCCACATTTCAAGTGCTCAATAGCCACATGTGGCTAGTGACTATAGTAGTGGACAGTGCAGATCTATATACTTCAAGCAGTAAGGACCACAGAATCTCTTCCCCAAAGACAGGTAGCTGGAACCATCACAGCCAGCAGCAGGTGCTGCTAAGATATTTGCCTGCCCATCTGCTTAGCTTCAAGTCCTTCTTTTTCTCAGGCTCTAAGGCATGTGCCTGCCTCAACTAAGTAGAGTGGGAAATTATAAATGATGATTCACTCCTTACAGCTCAAGCCCCTCAACAGTCAGTTCCCATGAAGCCCACACAACAAGGGCATCATCTTTCCAGGCTGACAGCCCTGGGACAATGACATTTGTGGTAAATTAAGCGGAATGTTGATGAAAAATGAAGCGTGATCACAATCTAGCTGTACTAGCAGTTGGCAGAGTCTGCTGTGGCCCTTGACAAATGCATTCCTTTTTAGAACTTTCCATGGCATCCGAGTGCTGGATCATCTATTATCCTGCATGTTATGTATGAGGAGAGAAATGAAATGAAATGAAACTCACATAATCCTCGTAAAGGCAGATTTACTAGGTACCATCATAGTTGGTTTGGGGAGGAAATCCCCTTGCAAGAAGGCGTGCTTGTTAAAAACATCTTAATAGTAACAGGCCTTTTATCACAGTTCACAAGTATGGGTCAATCCTAGAAGAGTAGAGGGAGAATAGAATTTCCCTTTCAATAGTCAAACAGGCTGACTAAACCAGCACATTTATTAAAAACCTAAAGACCAGGAAGTTTTAACAATTATTCCATTTCAATTCACAGAGGTCCTAGAGATATGCCAGTCTGCTTCTGAGAACACAGGATAGTGCAAAATTGCTCCATGGTTAGAGGCTCTTAGGATAATCTCATAAAAATAAAAAGGCCTTAATGGCCACAAATGGCCATTATTACTATTCATAAACAACATTAACACTAGTGAATGCAGCAATAAAATGTTTAAGGATAATATAGCATTCCTCTGTGGTCAGGAATTGCTTTTGAAAGTGTACCTACTTGCAAACGTGATGAAGTGATATGAATTTGATATTGTGTTATAGAACTGGGAGGAATCTTAATGATCACTTGTTTCATAGCAATTAGAAACATGGTAATGTATGCCTCATATCTATGACAGATGCTACTAGTGAGTCTTTCTTCCCGCTAAACCTGAACATGGGCTTAACATTTTTCTTGACAAGGAGTTTCAGGCCACAAATTATAAAGCAATCAGTATTACCAAGGTGAGCCTGTTTCCCACCTCTCATCAAGTCCAACACTCTTACCTTACACATGGGGAACACAAAGCTGGACAGTTAAGCTGCTCTCTAGAATCTCATTCACCAAAAACTCCTGGTTGAGGGGAAGACTGGAACCCAGGCATGCCTCCTGGGCTCTAGGTTTGTCCTCTTGCAACTACTTTCTACCTGTGGAAAGTTTGGGCTATAGGAAAGTTCCATATGCTATGCAGAAGTCTGTTTCTTCAGATTATCTATCATTGGTGCCATGTTTGTAGTTCATGAAGACTAAATCCCATAGGGTCCCCCCAACCAATGAAGCAGCTTTTTAGATTCTTCAGAACAACTCTCATGCCCCCATGCAGAGGCCACCATTATACTCACATTCTTCTTATGCTTTTGTTGTTATATTGTTCTCTGTCATTCTGGATAGGCTAGTGTGTGTTTAAATTGCTCTTAAGGAGTGATCTCCAGAAATGAGCACAGTGCTTGCTGTGTGGATGTAGCACTGCAGGGTAGGACACAGATCCAAGACAGAATATGGATTATTGAAGGGTTTAGAGTAAAAGTCCCCAGACCTTGGTCATTTACACACTATAATTACAATTATGTTTTTGCCTTGCATGCATTTAACCTTTATTACTTTTTATGTAATAATTCTTTAACACATTTACATTTTTTTTACATAAATTTACTTTCAAAAGAAACTTTTATTATCACAAATAAAAGAAAATATTTGACATAGGGCCAGGCACAGTGGCTCATGCCTGTAATCCCAGCACTTTGGGAGGCCAAGGCAGGAGAATCACTTGAGGTCAGGAGTTCAAGACCAACCTGGCCAATATGGTGAAACCCTGTGTCTACTAAAAATATGAAAATTAGCTAGGCATGGTGGCAAGCATCTGCAATCCCAGCTACTTGTGAGGCTGAGACACAAGAATTGCTTGAACCCAGAGGCGGAGATTGCAGTGAGTCAAGATCACCCACTCCAGCCACGTGACAGAACAAGGCTCTGTCTCAAACAACAACAACAACAACAAGAAGAAACAAACTTGACATAAATAAAAGGCAACTATAAAAATGAACACAGCACAGTGAACATAGAATAATGTTATTCCCTTCTAGTTAAATTCTGTGTTACCCGCCAGGGCCTCTTTGTTGAAAGGGGAGGTTACAGGTGTCACAGACTTTTTAAAAACATACCAGTATCAAATTAAGACTTTATGATAATCAGAAGAATGAAAAAGAAAAAGATAAAAAGAACAATTCTCTCCCTGTGTGATCCAGTGTTCTTTAAAGATGTGCCCACATAAACCTAAGGAGGCAGGAGAATAGGATTTGGAGGCAGGGAACAAAAGGCCGACTCATGCTGACTAGATGTCAGACGCTACTCCCTTTCCAACCCCTCCTTTTGCTGTGTGGCAGTTGCTGCGTGGCACTTGCTGCGTGGCAGTTGGAAAATGAAAGTACCTCTGATTGGCCCCCTCTCACAACCAACCGGACTGGTTGCAGGCCTACCGTCCCCTCCCTCAATCAATCCGGCTGGTCGCGGGCCACTAGAGTGAATCAATGGGAAACCTCTAGAGGGTATTTAAACCCGAAAATTCTGTAACCAGTGCTCTTGAGCTGCTTGCTCGGCCTGCTCCCGTCCTGTGGAGTGTACTCTCATTTAAAATAAATCTCTGCTTTGGCTGCCTTGCTTATGTACTTGTCCAGTTCTTTGTTCAAAATTCCAAGAACCTGGACAACTACCCTCAACTGGTAACACTAACTCCTATCACCTGTGCTACCTGGTACAATCCCATCTACTGCCCCATCTCATCCTGCAAGCAGTCAGAGGTGTGTGCCCCATGCTCTGGAAAATATGGATCTGGTGTACTTCTATCACTAGATGTCCTCTCAGCTGACTAAAGAAACGAAGTCTTCTTTCCTATCTATCTCAGTTGTGCTTTTCCCTCCAGGAGCCAATAGCCTTTCCTTTCTGGAGTTCTGGAGGCCTCTTTTTTTTCCCCCTAGCTCTCTTCATTTAATTCTGTGCCGTAAGTAAGGGTGTTTCCTGCATTCAGTGCAAGCCCTCTGAGAGTCTCTGTTATCCCTCCGAGTCATGTATTTTTCTCCTTGATGATTTCTAGACTGAAACAAAATTAGGCAAACCTCACGCCTCAAGGAACACATGGGCATCAACGCCTCCATAGCTGCAGAGAACATATGAACACAGCTGTCTTTTTGAAGTCACTTGAGAGGTGTGCAAGGTCCTCCCTGACAAATCCTTTCCTGTCCTTGTCATCTCCACCATTTGAGATGTGGTTAAGAGCACTGGCCTCTGAAGTTAAACTCTCTGAAGTTAGACTCTCTGGGTTTGAGCCATGGCTTTGCTAATTATCAGCTGTGTAACTCTGAGAAAGTTAATACCTCAGTGCCTCAGTTTACTTCTCTTTAAAATGGAGTTTACCCTCAGTAAACTAGGCATCAGAGGAACATACCTCAAAATAATAAAAGCCATCTATGACAAACCCACAGCCAGCAATCATACTGAATAGGCAAAAGCTGGAAGCATTTCCCTTGAAAACAGGCACAAGATAAGAATGCCCTCTCTCACCACTCCTATTCAACAGAATACTGGAAGCCCTGGCCGGAGCAATCATGCAGGAGGAAGAAATAAAAGGCATCCAAATAGGAAGAAAGGAAGTCAAACTATCCCTATTTGCAGATGGCATGATTCTATATCTACCCATAGTCTCAGCACAAAAGCTCCTTGATCTGATAAACAATTTCAGCAAACTTTCAGGATACAAAATCAACATACAAATCAGTAGCAGCGCTATACACTAACAACAGTCAAGCTGAGAGCCAAATCAGGAACACAATCCTATTTACAATGGCCACAAAAATAATAAAATACCTAGGAATACAAATAACCAGGGATGCTGAAAGTTTCTATAGTAAAAATTACAAAACAACTGCTCAAATAAAATCAGTGATGACATAAACAAATGGAAAAACATTCCATCCTCATGGATAGGAAGAATCAATATAATAAAAAATGGCCATACGGCCCAAAGCAATGTATAGATTCAATATTATTCCTATCAAACTACCAATGACATTCTTGAATTAGAATTAGAAAAATCTATTTTAAAATTCATATGAAATAAAAAAAAGAGCCCAAATATCCAAAGCAATCCTAACGACAACAACAAAACAAAGCCAGAGGCATCATGTTACCCAACCTTAAATTATGCTACAAGGCTACAGTAACCAAAACAGCATGGTACTGGTACAAAAACAGAAACATAAACCAATGAAACAGAATAGAGAGCTCAGAAATAAGGCTGCACACCTACAACCATCTGATCTTTGACAAAACTGACAAAAACAAGCAATGGGGAAAAGACTCCCTATTTAATAAATGGCACTGGGATAACTGGCTAGCCATATGCAGGAGTTTGAACCACCTTACACCACGTACAAAAACCAACTCAAGATGGATTAAATATTTAAATGTAAAACCTAAAACTATAAAAACCCTGGAAGATAACTTAGGAAATACCATTCTAGACATAGGACCTGGCAAAGAGTTCATGACGAACAGGCCAAAAACAATAGCAACAAAAAATTGACAAGTGGGACCTAATTAAACTAAAGAGCCTCTGCACAGCAAAAGAAACTATCAACAGTGTAAACAGACAAACTACAGAATGGGAGAAAATATTTGCAAACTATGCATCTGACAAAGGTCTAATATCCAACATGTATAAGAAACTTAAACAAATTTACAAGCAAAAACCAAACAAGCCCATTAAAAACTGGGCAAAGAACATGACAGACACATTTTTCTTTGTTTTGAGACAGGGTCTTACTATGTCACCCAGGCTGGAGTACAGTGGTGCCATCTTGGCTCACTGCAACCTCCACCTCCTTGGCTCAAGGAATCCTTCCACTTCAGCCTCCCAAGTAGCTGGGACTACAGGCATGCGCCATCATGCCTGGCTAAGTTTTTGTACTTTTTATAGACACGAGGTTTTGCCATGTTGCCCAGGCTAGTCTCAAACTCCTGAGCTCAAGTGATCCATCCACCTCAGCCTCCCAAAGTGCTGGGATTACAGGTGTGAGCCACTGTGACTGGTCTGAATAGACACTTTTTCAAAAGAAGACATACATGCAGCCAATAAGAATAAGAAAAAATTCTTAACACCACTAAACTTTAGAGAAATGCAAATCAAAACCACAATGAGATACCATCCCACACCAGTAAGAATGACTATTAATAAAATATCAAAAAATAACAGATGCTGGCAAAGTTGCAGAGAAAAGGGAACGTTTATACACTGCTGGTGAGAGCGTAAATTAGTTCAGCCATTGTGGAAAGCAATGTGGCAATTCCTCAAAGAACTTAAAATTACCATTCACCCAAACAACCCTATTATTGGGTGTATATCCAGAGGAATATGAATCACTCTGCCATAAAGACACATGCATACATATGTTCATCAAAACACTATTCACAATAGCAAACACAGGAAATCAGCCTAAATGCCCATCAATGGTAGACTGGATACAGAAAATATGGGTACATATACACCATGGAATACTATGCAGCCATAAAAGAGAGCAAAATCATGTCTGTTGCAGCAACATGGATGGAGCTGGAGGCCATTATCCTAAGCAAACTAATACAGGAATAGAAGACCAAATACTACATGTTCTCACTTACAAGTGGGAGCTAAACAACAAGAACACGTGAACACTAGGGGAAACAACAGAAACTAGAGCCTAGTTGATGGTGGAGGTTGGGAGGAGGGAGAGGAGCAGAAAAAATACCTATTGGGTATTATGCTTATTACCTGGTTTATGAAATAGTCCGTACACCAAATCCCTGTGACATGCAGTTTATATAACAATCCTGATGTACCCCTGAAGCTAAAATAAAAGTTAAAAGAAAAATAAATAAATAAAATGGGACTTGCACTAGTACCCACCTCACAGGGTTGTTGTAAGATTCAAATGGCACATAATTCAAATGGCACATTAATTCACAAAGGCACATAGAAAATAGTGTACAAGCAATGAATGTGAACAGAAACAATGACCATCCTGCTGTATTCTTCAGAGACACGTTTCTTTTGTTTACATTTTTTTGCTTGGGGAAGAGGAGAAGAGGACAGACAATATTTTATCTGAGGAACACAGGAATGAAAAATTTGATTCCTAAATTCCATTCCTATCTATGTCCTATAAGACGTAGTTTTGGGTCTTGTGTTTTAGTCTGTCTTGCTATACAAATGAAAAACATATTACTACTCATAACTTTAAATACCTGTTAAGCCAATTCTCCCAGCACCTTGTGAGAGGGTTCTTGATAATTAGCTCTGTTTTACAGACAAGTATACTGCGATTCAGAAATATTAAATGGCTTATCCAAGAATTAGCCAGTTTAAAAGATATGGGCTAGGTCATTTAGGATCTTTTTCTCTTTTGCTTATTTCAAAGGCAGGGATATAATAGAGATCTAGAAAATAAATGTTTTAAAACAATAAATATGAAAATCTACACTTAAGAGGATGGTGGGAGACAGGGAAATTTCACCCAGTCTCAGAGTTTAGTCTATGACTAATATGTTCATGATGTCTAAAGCTGTCTCTCATGTATATATGTAAGAATGTATGTATGTATAATTTCAACTTCTATTTTTGATTCAGGGGGTGTGTGTAGGTTTATTTCATGGGTATATGGCATGATGCTGAGATTTGGGTAAAACTGATTCCATCACCCAAGTAATGAGCATAGTACCAAACAGTTTTTCAACCCTTGCCCTTTCCCTCCCTTTCCCCTCTAGTAGTCTCCAGTGTCTATTCTTGCCATCTTTGTGTCCATGAATACCCAATGTTTAGTTCCCACTTATAAGTTAAAATAGGCAGTATTTGTGTTAATTCATTTAGGATAATGGTCTCCAGCTCCATCCATGTTGCTGCAAAAGACATGATTTTGTTCTTTTTTATGGCTGCATAGTATTCCATGGTGTATATGTACCACATTCTGTTTATCCAATTCACCGTTGGTGAGCACATAGGTTAATTCCATGTCTTTGCTATTGTGACTAGTGCTGTGATGAACATATGAATGCATATGTCTTTTTGGTAGAACAACTTATTTTCTTTTGGATATTGTATTAGTCCATTCTTGCACTGTTATAAAGAAATACCTGAGACTAGGTAATTTATAAAGAAAAGCAGTTTAATTGGCTCACAGTTCCACAGACTGTACAGGAAGCATGATGCTGGCATCTGCTCAGCTTCTGGTGAGGCCTCAGGGAGCTTATAATCATGGCAGAATGTAAAGTGGGGGCAGGCATGTCACATGGTCAGAGCCAGGGCAAGAGGTGGAGAAAGATGCCACAGACTTTTAAATGACCAGATCTCATGAGAACTCATACACTATCATGAGGACAGCACCAAGGGGATGGTACTGAAAAATCCATGAGAAATCTGACCCCATGATCCAGTCACCTCCCACCAGGCCCCACCTCCAACACTGGGGATTACAATTTAACATGAGATTTTGGTGGGAACACAAGATCCAAACCATATCAGATATATACCCAGTAATGTGATTGCTGGGTTGAATTGTAGTTCTGTTTTAAGTTCTTGAGAGGTCTTGAAAACGCTTTCCACAATGGCTGAAGTAATTTACATTCCCACCAGCAGTGTATAGGTGTTCTCTTTTCTCTGCAGCCTTGACAGTAAATGTTTTTGTTTTTGTTTTACTTTACATTTTAATATTAGCCATTCTGACTGGTGTAATATTTTATTGTGGTTTTGATTTGCATTTCTCTGATGGTTTGGATGTTGAACATTTTTTCATGTTAGTTGACCGTACGTATGTCTTCTTTTGGGAAGTGTCTGTTCATGTCTTTTGCCTACGTTTTTTCTTTTTTTCTTTTTTTTTTTGAGACAGAGTCTCTTTGTCGCCCAGGCTGGAGTGCAGTGGTGCAATCTCGGCTCACTGCAAGCTCCGCCTCCCAGGTTCACGCCATTCTCCTGCCTCAGCCTCCCGAGTAGCTAGGACTACAGGCGCCCACCACCACGCTTGGCTAATTTTTTTTTTTTGCATTTTTAGTAGAGACAGGGTTTCACCATTTAGCCAGGATGGTCTAGATCTCCTGACCTCATGATCCGGCTGCCTCCGCCTCCCAAAGTGCTGGGATTACAAGCGTGAGCCACTGTGCCTGGCCATCTTTTGCATACTTTTTAATGAGGTTGTTTTTGATAAAACTATATTTCTAAGTCATACCTCACTCCTGAACCTTAGATTTTTATTTGCAGCTACCTTTTGCCTTGCCACTTGCCTTTCAGTTTGGCAATAAGATTTGCTCTGGTAAATAGAATGTTAGAAAACATGACACAGGCAGGGTCTTGAAATATGCTTTCTCTACTGCCATTGCCATGAGAAGAACATGTCCAGCTAACCTGCTGACCCAGGGAAGATGAGAGACACTTGGAGCAGACCTAGACCCACAGACCTGCACCTGAAGCAGTGCTGCCTATGTTGACCCAGATTGGTAACAATCAATGATGAGTATTTTAAGCTACAGAGATTTTATAGTTATTTTTATGCAGCACTTTTGTGGTGATAGATGACTGCTACAAGATTACAACATGTATTCTTTACTTGCTAACTCTAATGTTAATTGGTACTTAGACAAAGCAAGCAAGCATCTTGGAACTCTTTATCAACATTTAAATCTCACTTAAATTATACACTATTATTGATGTTTATTTTTATTCTCTATTCAATTCAGTGAGTGTTAACGTGGATTTAAACATGTTTACCATTTTCATTACTTTATATTTTTCCTTGAATGTTTGATCTTATTTTCCTTTTCCCTAAAGAATGCCCTTTAATAGTTTCAGTGGGAGTCTGCTGGTGACAAATTCTTTCAAGTTTTTGTTGTTGTCTTCTTTTTTTTTTTTTTTTTTTTTGAGACCGAGTCTTGCTCTGTCGCCCAGGCCGGACTGCGGACTGCAGTGGCGCAATCTCGGCTCACTGCAAGCTCCGCTTCCTGGGTTCACGCCATTCTCCTGCCTCAGCCTCCCGAGTAGCTGGGACTACAGGCGCCCGCCACCGCGCCCGGCTAATTTTTTGTATTTTTAGTAGAGACGGGGTTTCACCTTGTTAGCCAGGATGGTCTCGATCTCCTGACCTCATGATCCACCCGCCTCGGCCTCCCAAAGTGCTGGGATTACAGGCGTGAGCCACCGCGCCCGGCCTTGTTGTTGTCTTCTAAAACTATTTTGCTTTCATTTTTGAAGACATATTGGTAGGGTATAGAATTCTTGTTTTGATTTGTTTTCATTTTTAGCACATTGAGGATAATATTTCATTGCATTCGATTCTTTTGTTCCTGTGTTCTTGGTGAAAATCACCTGTCTTTCCTATTCTTGCTTTTTTTGTTGTTTGTTTGAGACAGAGTCTCTACCATCCAGGATGGAGTGCAGTGGTGCAATCTCGGCTCACTGGAACCTCTGTTTCCTGGACTCGAGTGATTCTCTCTTGCCGCAGCCTCCCAAGTAGCTGGGATTATGGGCAGGCACCACCACACCTGGCTACATTTTTTTTTTTTTTTTTTTTTTTTTTAGTAGAGACAGGGTTTCACCATGTTGGCCAGGCTGTTCTGGAACTCCTGACCTCAAATGATCTGCCTGCCTTGGCCTCCCAAAGTGTTATTCAATGGTTTTTGAAGGTATCTTGTGGATTTTTCCATCTGACTGTTAGAGTTTTCTCTTCATCTTTGGATTTCAGTAGTTTTACTTTTCCTACATGGGGGTTTCGTTCCTTTATCCTGATTGTGATTCTTTGGAATTCTTAAATCTGTGATTTGACATGCTTTATCAGTCTTGGGAAATCCTTAATACTTCCTGTTTCAAATATTTCTTCTGACCCATGTCTCCTCCTGCCTTCCTAAGATTCTAATTCAACCTACACCTTACCCTCTATCATCTATGCCTTTCACCTGTTCTTTTTCATGTGACTGCTGAAGAATTTTAGATATGCCTTCCAATTTACTATTTTTCTCTTTAGTTATCTTTAATATGATATTAACTCCTCTGCTGAGTTATTATAGTTGTATTTTGTTTTGGTTCTAGAATTTCTATTTGTTTCTCAAAGATGCTAGTCAGTTCTTATAGTTCTCAGAAAATTTCAATCCTCTTCTCCCCTCCCTTCACATATTAACATAGTTTCTTAAAATATGTGTGAGGTAGCTCTAATGTCTGGAGACTCCTGGAGACATGCTTCTATTACTTGTTGTTTCTGCTGGCTCTTGTTCATGTTGTCCTGTTTTCTTTTGTCTTATTGTCTTTACTGTATGACTGATACTGAATTTGAAATTATTTTGAAGCCTAGCATGATGTTATGTTCCTTTAGAGAGAAATATAATTTACCTCTACTAGGTACCTGAATGTACTAGTTATCTGGGGTAACCTTAATCCAACTATAGAGCTTACCATTTTCTGGCCCACCCAGATAATGCAAAGTTAATCTGAAGCCCACGAAAAGGCTCAGTTTCCCTCTATTTTCAGGCATGCAATTTGCTTTGAAATCTTGGTCAAAAATGAAGTTGGAGGATTGACCATAGTGCTTACACTTGGCAGATACTGTAACCCAAATCTTGCTCCAATCCCCAAGAGGCTGGCAAAAGTGGTGCTTGGCATCACTGTCTATTCTAGTTTTGCAAATGCCCTGAAATCAAAAGTCGCTCCAAATGTCTGACTCATATCTTTGGATTTTCTTTTCCAGTATATTGGTCCAGTAGTTTCTCATAGCTTTACTATCTCTGCTGCCTTTAAGCAAACATTTTTATATCTTGTCCAAATTTT
Source organism: Homo sapiens (assembly GCF_000001405.40). Taxonomy (NCBI): domain Eukaryota; kingdom Metazoa; phylum Chordata; class Mammalia; order Primates; family Hominidae; genus Homo; species Homo sapiens. The sequence continues at coordinate 155,573,161 of NC_000005.10, forward strand.
CTGACTGTCCTCAGCAGGAGGATTTGTTTGAATTATTTTGCTGCTAATACCAGGATGACCCTCCTTGCCATAAATGGGAGCCAAAGTCTCCTACATTTTCTCAATAACCTAATCTTTATTTCCTTCTTGAGTACTGTTCTATTTAACTCCCCACACCAATCATGGTGGCTAGAACATTTTTCATATTCTTTATTTAAAACACGTGTTAGAAGATCTCAATGGGCAGAATATAGAAAGGAGGTAACAAAGGTGGTGAAGACTATCCACAGTTTTGGCCGATGTTAGTGCTAGAAACACTGTAACCAAATGCATTTTTCAAATGATTACTTCTGCCTCTGTATACAATGTTTTGTTTACAGCATTCATTAGACATGGTTCTTGAGCAAGTCACATAAATTGAGCCTCAGATATCACTTCTATAAAATACAGGAGGGAAGAAGATTAATTTGGTAACATCTAGCTCTAAATTGTAGTAAGCACCACAATGTAAGAGTAAAAGCCTCCTAGAGGACCTGTGTGATTCTCTTTACATGGTGATGCCCTAATAAGTATTTGTTGAGTAAGGAATGAATGTCATAATGTCTAAGTGAATTTTTCTGGTTTATTATTCTCTTTGAGAACAGGCAGTAACTTCTGGGCTGCCTACCTGAGATTGCTAACGGAATTGTTTACAATTGTCTCTTTCATAATAACAATGGGAATTGTAATAAGTAAAGGCATGTATTGCAAGGGGACAGTAAAGAAGGAATTTATCATGTTTTAGAATTTAAGGTCATATCGCATACTAGTGTTTTTGCAGTCCAATTTTGTTTGCACTAACTGGACATATGATGTGAGATTCATTGTGTCTAAACATACATACCAATTACATTGCTAAGTGCTTAAAGTGCTTAATAGACTGAAATGGAGACTTGGTAATAAAAAGCCTTTAATGAGAAGGTGAAGATAGTGTTGTAGGAAGCAGGAACAACTCTAATCAGAGTGCATCAAGTCACACATACATATGCTTACACAGATACACTCTGCAAAAGAAATCATTGATTGGCTTCAGGTCTCATCTGCGACATTTAGTGTAAGCTTGTAGCAAATCCCAGGAGGGAAATGCCAATCCAGGAAGTCATTTGTTCAAGAGTCTTCTAAGACCACATATCCACAGCATTATTTGGCTAAAATCGGTTTAAGAGGGTGGTGGAAAATGAGAATGAATCCAATCCACAAGTGAAGGTTTGGCCCCAGATTTGCTAATATTAATTTTGAGACTTTCACTTCTCCGACTATTTCTGGCTACAGTGATTTTAGAGGCTGTGGAACTCAATGAGGTGACCACAGTAGACAGTCACCTTTCATTCTAATGAAAGGACAGGCTCACATATGCTCCCTTGTGTAAGAATGAAATCCTTCATTGCTCCACAGAGGAGAGGTCTGAGTCAGCTCTTTGGGTTGTTATTTGAAAAACTGATTGGTGACGTTGTCTTTTCAATTCAGTTCAAGAGACAAAAGTAAAGTTTAATTCTCACCTTTGGTTCACAGTCTTGTTGGGGAGGCAGATATGGCCACAGCAACTAAAAGTGCTAAAATGGGGGTATAAAATGGCATGAGCAAAAGGGGACTGAGAAGATGAACTCCAGCTAGGTGGGATTAAGAAAAATATCTTTGCCAGGCACGGTGGCTCATGCCTGTAATCCCAGCACTTTGGGAGGCTGAGGCAGTTGGATCACCTGAGGTCAGGAGTTTGAGACCAGCCTGGCCAAAATGGCAAAACCCTGTCTCTACGAAAAAAACAAACAAACCAAAAAAAAAAAAAAAAGAAAAGAAAAATTAGCTGGGTGTGGTGGCAGGCACCTGTAATCCCACCTACGTGGGAGGCTGAGGCAGGAGAATTGCTGGAACCCGGGAGGTGGAGGTTGCAATGAGCCAAGACTGTGCCATTGCTCTCCAGCCTGAGTGACAGAGCAAGACTCTGTCTCAAAAAAAAAAAAAAAAAAAAGAAAGAAAGAAAGAAAAATATGTTCAAGGTGTGTGTTCTAACTTCATTGTTAGTATGACTTAGTATGCTCTTAAAATGGGGACATTGATTCAATTTCATGTACTTTTGGTTCATTGTTGCCATATGTCAATAGGATTACTCTTACTCCTAAAGGAGATCTGAATTCTTGCTTCTTGCACCTCACTCCCTCTCTCTCTATACCAAACCAAACCTTCACATCTCTGCTTGAGTGTTGGACACTCTTTCTTGGGACACAATTTTCTTATTTCATTATTCAAGAAGACTGAGGAAGAAATACCATAAAATTTTCACCACGAGATACATACTCAATGAGTATCACTGAGTCACAAGCATTGACGTGTGACTCATAAAACTAGAAAAGGGGCATAGTTGCCTGTAGAGAGATGTGCTCCAGATCTTTGTATTTGGTGGTATATATTAATCTTTACAAAACTTTCTATAACTATTCAAGACCACATTGTTCTCTCCTTTCTAGAAAAGCCTATTGTATAAATTGCAATGTGAAAACTAGTATAGAGTGCACATAAATGAAGAGCCATGTAAATACAGAAAAAGAAACAATTTAATTTTTTATGGAGTATTTATAAAACAACTCTTAGGGCACTTGGGCCTTGAAGGATGAATTGGATTTTCCCAGGATGGAAGGAAAGAAGGTTACCTTATACAGGAGGAGCAATGAATGTAATCTGCATGGTTGCTCTGCATGTGTCCTAAATCTCATGGCCTTTTGAGTTCTTTACTATTCCTTACAATCATGCTTGCGGGCTCAATAAATGATTGTCCATGCTCACAATTGGTTTTACATAGATGGGCACACCTTGTCTCACCAGTTACTGTCCCTTGGACTGTCTGCTAGAAGAGCAGGGCCATCTGCTCTGACAGACGTTACTCAGATAATGTCAGTGATGCCAAAGGGTTTTTCTTTCTCCTCTGACCTACTTAGTCTTCCACAAACCAAGATTTTCTCCCCTTCATTGCTGTGTTGTGCTAAGCACTCACTGTTTTCTCTCCTCTTCCCTTTCTGTCCTGCAGTGTTTCCTTTGCTTTTAGGAAAGCACTTAGTCGTGGAGCTGATTTCTGAGTTATTGTGCTCCTAAGTCCTCCTGCAATCCATGTGCAATCATCTGTTTATTAAGGTTAAATCAGTTCAACTGATATTATAAAACCTTGATTAATGGGAACATATGAGTAATGCTTCTGGTTAATTGAATTTTCAAGTTAACTGAGGGTTAAATGAGAGATTTAATAAAATTGCCAAAGCACTTATCTTTCTCAATTTTATGGCACTGATCACATTCTACCTTGCCTGGGCACTTGTGAAGTTCATGTCTCAGCTTTCCTAATAGACTGTGAACTTTCTGAGGGTAGACTCTGGCCATATACTTGTCTGTAATTCAGCATGGCCCAATGGATCACATTTTTTAAGACAATGATGTAATCTTCATTATCATCATCACTGTCATTGCGTTATGGCTAATAGCATGGACTGTAGCCAGACAGCCTGAGTTTGAATGCCTCTGCCATTTGGTGGTTCTACGGGCTTGGGCAAGTTATTTACCCTCTCAGTGCCTCAGTTTCATCATCCATGCAACGGGAATAATAGTAGTGATTACCGCACAAAGCTGATATGAGGATTGAGTCACTATTTACAAAGTGCTTAATAATAAGGGCACCTTACTAATTGCTCAATGTGTATATTCCCATCTGACCTCAAAGGAAGATGCTATCAATCACCCCATTTTACACATGAGGAAAGTAGAATGCAGAGAAGTTAACTTACTCAAGGTCAGACAGCTAATAAGAAGTAGAGCCAGGTTTGGATCAAGGAGGTTTAACTTGACAACCTACACTCTTAACATCATGCTCTTCTAAAATCGTATTTTTGTATCTACATAACATTCATATTCTTAGATATGCCCAATTTGGGGAAAAATATATACTTCTAATATTACACATCCATCATGGTTGGTCAAGGGTAATGCTCATCTTAGTAACCGAGCAAGCTAGGTGGACAAGGGCTTCATCATGAGCCTGACCTGTGGTTCCAAGACTGTTGCAGTAGTGGGACAGGACCACAGTGAATCACCCACTAGCCCTTCAAAATAAGCACATCACTTCCATTCAAACTTCATTGACTATAACAAGTCACATGGCTATACCTAACTTCAAAGGGAGTAGGAAAGTGCAGCCTTACCATGACTCAAGAGGCAGAGAGCTAGAAATGCTCCATGAATATCAATAGCTACCATACTCAAGGACTCTCAAAAATTAGTGGGCAAACCCTGTGCACTATGGTGTTATATGGGCAGGTGTACAAAGTAGAAAAAGTTAAGTTCTTACTTTAGAGAAGAGTCTCTCAATCTTGGCACTCTTCACACATTGAACCAGATAATTGTATCTTGTGGGATGCTGTCCTCTGCATGGTAGGCTATTTAGCAGCATCCGTGACCTTGTTCATTAAATGTCAGTAGCACCTTTCCTCCCCCACTTGTGACAATTGAAAATGTCTCCAGTCTTTGCCAAATGTCCCTGGAAGGCAAAATCACCCCCAGTTGATAACCACTAATTTAAAGTGACCTCATTTGTATCCACAGACTATTCAGTCTTAGGGAGATTCTGGCTAAACTATGACTGCATTGTGTAACAAGGAACTTGTGGAAGATTTTGCAGATTAGAAAACAGCTTCAGAGGGTCAGTGGCTTGCAGAAAGCCATGGGTTTTGAGTTAGCACAAGAACTTACATCCCTGGAATCTCAGTATTCTTTTTGCTGTACTATATTTTCCAAACTCTTTTCTTTTTTAGGTTTTCTACACTGACTTTATACTCTGCAAAGTTCTTCAGTGAGTCTACCTCAAATTGTCAGCCCCTGTAATTTTCAGCCTATTCATTTTTCTTAGTCCTCTGTGAAAGTAGGGAACAGCTGGTCATCATGTTCCGTGTAATAACTTTTCATATATTTGAAGGCTGTTATTAAACCATCCCCAAGCTTCTCTTTGCTGAGTAATTGTTATGCTCAAACATGAGCCAAAAATTGCACAAAGTCTGGGAGAAAATAGAGTCTTCAAACTAACATTTTTGTATTAAAATGGAAGAAAAACATTTTTTGACTGAAAATATCAACTGAGAAATGAGGCTAAAATTTGAGACTGTGTGGTTTGGTTTCCAGAATTTTTCTTTCTTTCTCTCTTTTTTGGGGTTTATTATGGTTATTGTAGCTGACCTGAAAATTTTAATTTATTACTGTGAAAATTAATGCCCTAATTAAGATTTTTTTAGTACTTTTAATCTTAATGGTATTTTAATGGAAATCCAATGATGACAAGATACTGAGTCTCTGCTTGTCACATCTCAGGATACGACTAGATATAGTCCAATTAACTGCAGTGGCACTGATGAGAGGCCCTGGCTTAGAACAAGACCTTCTCATTATAATATAGAACTTGGACAATCACTGATAAAAACTACCATTTATTCTGTGCTTTCCATTCACTAGGCCAGATGCTAAGAGATTTATAAGAATTATCTCTTTTAATCTGATTAACTCCAAGAGGTAGTTGTTATTATTATTGCTGTTTTACAGAATTAGAAATTTTAGATCAGAGAGGTTAAGTAAGTTGCCCAGTGTCACAGAGCTTACAAGTAGTAGGTTTGGATCGGAATTGGAAACCAGGCAGTCTGCCTCTGGAGCCCATGGTCTTAATTGTAATTACACATGGCTTCTGTGCAAGCAGGAGCTCTGTCTTACTATTTTTTGTACATTCAATGTCTAGCTCCTAGCGTCAGTTCTCAGAAATATTTATTGAATGAATAAACAAATGGTGAATGGTAGAGCAGAAATGTGGAACAGCAATATGAGTTGTGGTTCAGAGCATTATGTAAGCATTGTTTGTTCAGGCATCACTGTCTTATCTCACCCTACCCACCCTCACCTAGAGTGGGTTAAATGACTTAATTAGCATTCCACATTAACTAGTGTGTTTCTATCCATGCACTGACCTCGCTGTGTTATAATGGTCTATTTATGTGCCTGTGTCCTCTGCTAGAATGGTGATTCTCAATCAGGGATGAGTTTGCTCTCCAAGGGACATTTGGTAATGTCCAGACATTTTTTATAATCATTGGGGGATGCTACTGGCATCTAGTACGTAGAGCCAGGAATGCTGCTAAGCATAGTGTAACACATAGTACAGCCCCCACAACAATTATCCAGTCCAAAATGCCAATAATGCCAAAATGGAGTAGTCCTGTCCACAAAAAGATGCTAGTGTTCAGGATCATCTCTGTGTCCTAATGCCAGGCACAGGGTCTGACATTATTAGTAAGGCTCAACATATACGAATCAAAGTAGAGAGTGAATGAATGCATGAATGGATGATGGAGCAAGTGCATTACAGCAGACTGGATTCCGTTTGTCGTAGAGTACAAGTACTGGAAGCCCAGGTACTAGAAGAACTACTATCAATTAATGTGGGACTCCACCAGACTAGCAGGATGTAGAAATGATGAATTCAGATGTAGCCCACAGGCAGTTGGCATAAGGAAAGCATAGTGGGATACTACTTTGATATATTAATCTGTTTCTCTCTTTCACTCCCTTTTATCTCTTTGCCTTTCTTCCATTTATAGAACAGTTAGATATATATTCTATAACTCCTACCCTCAAGGAGGAGGATGGGGCAATACTAACACAAAATAAAAGAATAAACTTTCTTGCTTTGGAGTTTTGAAAGTCAAGCTTCAAGTATAAACTAAAAATACTTGGAAAAATATAGGTAGTCATGTCCAGTTTCTCTGTCCCTGAGACTAGATAAAACACTGTAGCAAGAGAGGGAGGGAAAATCAGAGTGGGGAAAAGAGACTTGGTCCAGAGTGGGTTCCAGAGAAGGAGTCTCATATTCTTTTCCCTTCTTCTGAGTTTGGGGCTGGAGGTAGAGAGGGCAACCCCAGAAGGACATAAGGAAACTGAGAAGAAGAATCTGCTTCTCCCACCTCTGGATAAACCCTAGACAGTAGTTAAGATCCCAGCCTTCCCTTGCACCTGGAATGCTGCAGGAATAATAGTCCAGAAATGACTATATGGAGCATCTGGGTAGGACCACCAACCTTCCCAGCCCTCAGAGTGGCAGAGGTGTGGCCTTCTCACTCCAAGGTGTGGCCATTTAGCAGAGCCAGATCTTCAGCATCCCTGGGATTGGGCAGAAGAGGATACAACAGAGATCTTATGGAGACTGGATTAGAATGAAGTTATCTTAGAAGATGCCAATGTGGACAGATGATAGTGTCCCTTATCAGTTCCTCCCCACTTATGTCACAGCCCTATGCAACCCTGGAAAAGAAGAGGGATGGGGACATTCTAAATTGAATGAGTTCAGCTTTTATCACAAAGAAGGAAAGCTCAGAATAGAAATTCAATTCAATTCAAGAAAAAAATGTAGTTACATTTCTTGCATGTCTGATCTCGTGTACTCACTACGGAAGTTTATCAGATGGTAACAGCTTCCCGGCAAGAAGTCTGAAGTTAGGAGCATCCCTAAATGGGTTACTGATAAGAGTAAAGGATGACTATAATATTGGGGGAGTGGCATATAATGGAAATTATTAACTCAGAACCTCAGTCCCTGGGAGGAAAGCAGGATTCCTGCCACTAGCACTGTATTGCAAGGAACAGACAGGGTCTGGGAAGTGAATGGAGTCATTTAATTCCCCAACCAGGGAACAAGGTCAGGCTGAATCGGCAATAGCTGAGACCTGATGTTATGCTCTGAGCATTGGATGGAAACTGCTTAAAGATCTGTCTTCAAAAGTCAGCCTTGGCCATCACGAATGAAATGGGCAGAGTTTACGTAACCTCAATCCTGGAGAAGAAGGAGTATAAGCTTGAGAATAGTTGTCTAAATGATTTAGTTTTTGACAAATGAATCTTTTAAAAAAAGACAATGTGAATTATTAGAAAAAAGTAGTATCCACAGTACTCACATTACATTTCAAAAATCTTGATGTTTTTAATCTAAGCATCATGCCCAAATATTAATTTTTCTGTCAAGCGTTTTCTGCTGCTTACTAATCTGACACTTTGGGGGGCCTCCATTTGGAAGAAATAATGATTGGAAAAGTAATTCTGGGGTCCTTTGAGCTTATCAATTAAAACACCATCTTTTTCATCTACTTTTTAAAAAGTACATGTTAAATTGCATGACAATATTCTTGGGTCACTGCAGGTGTAAAGGAATCCTCTGTTCAATGGTGTGTCCTTTAAGAGTCCATAAGAGTTGGTCTCTCTCAACTCTCTAGGCTCACCTCCTGACAGTCTTCATCTCTAATCCTCTTCTCCATTGCATTGTCCTTCATGAGTTCTCTGACTACTGTGGTGGGCTGAATCATGGAGCCACAAAATAGAAGTCCACATGGATCCTCAGAACGCGAACCTACTTGGACTAAGAGTCTTTATAAGTGTCGTTAGTGTAAGGATCCCACAATGAGATGAGATCATCCTGAATTAGAGTGGGGCCCTAAATCCAGTGACAAGTGTCCTCATAGGAGACAGAAAATGAGAGGACACGGAGACACGCAGAGGGGAAGACCATGTGAAGATGGAGGCAGCAATTAGTGCAATCAGTCAAGGCTTGCCAGAAGTCACCAGAAGCTAGGAAAGAGACAGAATGGATTCCCCCTTAGCGCCTTCAGAAGGCAACAACCCACTCACATCCGTATTTCAGGCTTCTAGCCCCTAGAACTATAAGATGATAAATGTCTGTTGTTTTAAATCACCAACTTAGTGATAACTCGTTATGATACTTGTGTTTTTGTGCCTGGCTTATTTCACTTAGCATAGTGTTTTCAAGTTTCATCCATGTTGTAGTATGTGTCAGAATTCCATTCCCTTCTAAGTGAACTAATACAGCCACTCCAAGTTCTTTGACTATGCTGTGCTCTTCCTTCTCAGGCCCACACACATACTGTCTCCTCTTCAGTTATACTATCTACCTGTTCATTCCCTCTTCACTGACTTTTGGTCAGCATTTGACAAACTTCCTGCCAAGGACTAGGTAACTATTTTAGGTATTTTGAGCTATATGGTGTCTGTCACAACTACCCAACCCTGGTATTATATCATGAAAGTATTCATAAATAATATATAAGCAAATGGGTATGGTTGTGTTCCAATAAAACTTTATTTATAAAAACAAGGCTGGATTTGCCTGTTGGCTGCAGTTTTCTGACAACTGCTTTTGGTTATTTTCCAGATCTCAGCTTAAACATCATTTTCTAGCAGCCTTTCCCTAACTTCTTAAGATAAAATATTTCATACTGTGTCTTTAGAGCCCTTATGCTACTCTGATTACCTCATGGTGCATATGTTTGTTTAATGCTTGGTTTCCTAACAAACTGAGAGCTCCATGTGATCAGGGATTGTGTCTGGGTTTGCTCATCACTGGAGTCCCAGTACCTGACACAGTCCTAGCATGTAGCTGAACTCAGTAATTATTTTACAAACCTATGAATAATGAGCATTAGCATCATTCTTGGGCTTTCACAGGTAAAGTCTCATTGCTGAAATTGGGTTAAAAATATGCAGCTAGCAATTTCTTAAAAAGTTAAACCAAAAATTACTGTATGGTCCAGCAATTCCACTTCCGGGTGTATATGCAAAAGAATTGAAAGCAGGGACTAAAGAAGATACATGCACAATCATATTCCTAGCAGCATTATTCACAATAGGCAAAAATGGAAACAACTCAGATGTCCATCGGTGGATGGATGGATAAACAAAATGTGGTGATATGCACATACAATGGAACATCGTTCCCTTAGAAAGGAATGAAATTCTAACACATACTACAACATGGATGACACTTGAAAACACTATGCTAAGTCACAAAAGAGACAGAATTGTATAGTTCCATTTATATGAAATACCTAGAAAAATAAAATTTATAAATAGAAAAAAGGATCATGGTTACAAGGTTCTGGGAGAAAGGGAGAATAGAATGTTATTGTTTAATGTATACAAAGTTTTTGTTTGGGATGATATTGGTGATAGTTCCACAACATTGTGGATGTACTCAATGCCACTGGATTGTATACCTAAAAATAGTTAAATGGTAAAGATAATTTTAAAAATGGCAGGAATTAATCAGATTGAATATGGGAAGAAACTAGGCCAGGATAGAATAGAATAGAACAGATGAGAATGAAATCATAGGATGCTATTGGTGGAAAGGACCTCAGAGATAAGCTGGTACAATAGCTGCCCTCTTCTCTCATTTTACAGAGTAAAAAACAAAAAACAAAACAAAAAAACAAGAGCCATTGTGGTTCTGTGGAAAGCAAACTAGGTTTCAAAAGACCTGGATTTAAGCCCAACTGGGACCCCTGGTTTACTCAGCATCCTCAGACACATCTTTGGCCCGTGTGTCTGAAATTTGTGATTCTAAAATCTCTGGTTGGTCTGTTCTTCTGGTCTTTGGTTTCAATCAGGGTTTCCTTCCTGGTGATCTGGGCAAGCAGTTTATTGGCTTTTGTGACGGAGTTTTTCTGAGTTTTGGCTAACCTTGTTGATTGCTTCCCTGTGCTTGGTCTGCAAGCCCATTCCAATTCCCATGCAGTTTTGTGTAAAGATATCTTCATTAAAGACACCTGCTTGGCTTCATTTCGCTTCACAGTGTGTTTCAATTCATTTTTATGGGCGGAGGCAGCCAGCTGCAATGGATAATCTGGCATCTACTTTAAATGTTGTCTCATGCCCACCTTACAACATTATGACAGTCAATTGACATCTTGGGACAGCAGTTTTCCTAAGATTAATGACAATAACAATTATTGTTTTTTTTTCTTATGCTAATTTATTAAACTTTTGTGAGGATCAAATTGTTAGGGGACATTGACTCTACTTAGTTAACTCACAGCAAAATGGTAAAAACCAGTGGTTACATCTGTTTGGTATTTTTCTACTAGAGTGTTAGTTCCCAGAGAGTAAGGGCTCTGTCTTTGCACAAGAAAACAGGAAAGATGAGTAAAAGGCATCCTAGATTCAGAGTCAGGGGGATTGGCTTCCAGTCCTGGTTTTACCACCATTTTACCTTGTGATGCTGGGTAAAGGACTCACTGCCTCCCACACTGACTGGTTTCCTCATCTGTAAAGTGAGGGGCATCGAATAAGATCATCTTTTGCATTTCCTTTTAACTCTGACAGCTTATGAATTTTGCACTTCTAGTGCTTAGCTCTGTGCCTCGTATATATGAGGGAATTAATAAATGTCTATTAAGCCAAATTTAGTTCATTACTATTTATTATTAGTTAAATGTCATTAACTTGTCACATCATTTAGGTTTCTGGAAAGATGACTTTCTTTATTATATTTAGGAAATGTGGCAGTGATCATTTATATTTAGTGGTTCTGATAATAGGATGGCTGATAACACCAGTAGTAGTACTAACGATAAACATCTATAGAGTGCTTATAATGTTCCAGGCACATACCAGGTATTTTTAAAATGAAATTCTCAACACAACCTTATGAGATAGGTGCAGGCATTAACCTTGTTTTACAGATAAGGAAATGCCATGTTAAATAACTGGACATGTTCACACATGTTCAAAATAACTGACCTTAACACAGTCAGTAGATGGTGGAGCTGGAAGTTGAACCCTGTTCAGTCTGTCTCCAAATAGGGTTTCCAGACTCAGCATTTAAAAATAGAGGATCACAAATTAAATATGAATTTCAGATAAACAGTGACTATTTTACTACAAGTATGTCCTATGTGATCATACTACCCTCATCTGCCACTCAGGGCAATACATTTTTTTTTTTTACCACTGGCTTATGGATTCAGCAGGCAAAATGAGTTCACCTAAAGCAAATTAAATGAAAGCAGAACTCTTGTTTCTCACAGGATACTTGGCATTCAATACTATAGGACTGGAAGCCAGGTAGAATTTAGCATTAGGCAGTAAAAAGATATAATATGAAAAGTTTCCATATTAGGAAAATGGCCCCACATGTTATGAAATTTCCTCTTACTCTGAATCTCTTACATCAAATAATTTTGTGTTTTACTTATCTCATGAATCTTCTCTCTCCTTCTCAGGGTTTCTGTTTGCTTTAAAAGATGAAACAACTTATAATTTTTTTAAAAAAATTTCAAGTGAAATCTGTAATTACGAACGGAGCCAGGATCTCTTGTGAATTGTTTGAGAATGTTGCTTCCCTGTGCTTGAGCTGAAATATCTCATACATCTGTTGCTATGACAATGGGTTCTCGTTAGTGGGTGAGGTAGACATTTGATCTGTACATTCACAGTGAGGGCTCATGTTCCAGCCTCTTTGTTACGATTCTGAAACTCATGAAATTGGAGAAGTTTCACCTTAATCGAAGAAATCGAATTTATAGCAGGAGGGAGTCAAGCCTGGGCCCCTGTCCACTTATTACCACTTTGACTCAGTTTTCTCCACTGTGAAATGGGGCTGACAACAGTGCCTACTGCATAGGTTTGTGTTAAGAGGATTCATGAAGGATGCAATTAGTGTTATTACTATTAGTTTTATCATTATTATTAAAATAGTCTATTCCAGGGAACCTTGGTCAAAGCTCATAAAGTTATATTTTTGTTGCCCAGTTAGCCCATCAAAGGGAGTGTGTCCGGAATTAGTGGGTTCTTGGTCTCACTGACTTCAAGAATGAAGCCGCGGACCCTCACGGTGAGTGTTAACAGCTCTTAAGGTGGCGCGTCTGGAGTTTGTTCCTTCTGATGTTCAGATGTGTTCGGAGTTTCTTCCTTCTGGTGGGTTCGTAGTCTCGCTGGCTCAGGAGTGAAGCTGCAGACCTTCGCGGTGAGTGTTACGGCTCTTAAGGCAGCGCCTCTGGAGTTGTTCTTCCTCCCGGTGGGCTCGTGGTCTCGCTGGCTTCAGGAGTGAAGCTGTAGACCTTCGCGGTGAGTGTTATAGCTCATAAAAGCAGTGTGGACCCAAAGAGTGAGCAGTAGCAAGATTTATTGCAAAGAGGGAAAGAACAAAGCTTCCACAGTGTGGAAGGGGACCCCAGCAGGTTGCCACTGCTGTCTCGGGCCTTCTGCTTTTATTCTCTTATCTGGCCCCACCCACATCCTGCTGATTGGTAGAGCCGAGTGGTCTGTTTTGACAGGGCGCTGATTGGTGCATTTACAATCCCTGAGCTAGACACAAAGGTTCTCCACTTCCCCACCAGATTAACTAGATACAGAGTGTGGACACAAAGGTTCTCCAAGGCCCCACCAGAGTAGCTAGATACAGAGTGTCGATTGGTGCATTCACAGACCCTGAGCTAGACACAGGGTGCTGATTGATGTATTTACAATCCCTGAGCTAGACATAAAGGTTCTCAAAGGTCCCACCAAATTAGCTAGATACAGAGTGTCAATTGGTGCATTCACAAACCCTGAGCTAGACACAGGGTGCTGATTGGTGTATTTACAATCCCTGAGCTAGACATAAAGGTTCTCCACATCCCCACCAGACTCAGGAGCCCAGCTGGCTTCACCCAGTGGATCCCGCACGGGGGCTGCAGGTGGAGCTGCCTGCCAGTCCCACACCGTGTGCCCGCACTCCTCAGCCCTTGGGTGGTCGATGGGACTGGGCGCCGTGGAGCAGGGGGCGGTGCTCGTTGGGGAGGCTTGGGCCGCACAGGAGCCCATGGAGTGGGTGGGAGGCTCAGGCATGGCGAGCTGCAGGTCCCGAGCCCTGCTCCGTGGGAAGGCAGCTAAGGCCGGTGAGAAATGGAGTGCAGCGCTGGTGGGCTGGCACTGCTGGGGGGCCCAGTACACCCTCCACAGCCGCTGGCCTGGGTGCTAAGCCCCTCATTGCCCGGGGCCGGCAGGGCCGGCCGGCTGCTCCGAGTGCGGGCCTGCCAAGCCCACGCCCACCTGGAACTCCAGCTGGCCCGCAAGCGCCGCGTGCAGCCCCAGTTCCTGCTCACGCCTCTCCCTCCACACCTCCCTGCAAGCTGAGGGAGCCGGCTCTGGCCTTGGCCATCCCAGAAAGGGGCTCCCACAGTGCAGCGGTGGGCTGAAGGGCTCCTCAAGTGCCGCCAAAGTGGGAGCTCAGGCAGAGGAGGCGCCGAGAGCGAGCGAGGGCTGTGAGGACTGCCAGCACGCTGTCACCTCTCAGGAGGAGGAAGAGTTAAAACTGAAAAGCAAAACCTAGAACCAGAAGATGAGGACTCTAGTACCTGTTTCCTGATCTGGGTGAGAGAATCAGGGCAACTTGTTTAACTACTTGGAAACTCATTGTCTTTTCTGTCAAATGGCAATAATAATTAATGTACTCCTCTCCTCCAAAGTTGGTGTAAAGATTAAATGCAATTATACACACACACACACATACACACACACAATGCTTTAAATGGAAAGAGTGCTGTAGAAATGGGAAGTGTGTTGTCTTATAAAAAGCTGACTGTTTGTTACAGGTGGTTCTGTTAAGCTGAGTTCCTCTATTGTGGCATTTATGTCCTCAGGGCAGGAGGTGGCCCTCCTCTGCCCTGAGACAGGCCTGGCTGTTTGCCAGGGCCAAGCACAGGCACCATATTTTGATTCGATGAGTGGTATAATTGTTTGGTTAATTTTGTGGTTGAAAAGCTCTGTTTTCTTTTAGGTCTGTACACTTGGATAAGCCTCTCTGTGATTCAGCTTCTTTAACTGTAAAGTGGGCTGGAAAAAACCAAAGCAACTTCCTTCGTGGAATTATTGTATTAATAAAAGTCGAATAAAATAACATACTTAAAGCATTTAGTACAATGACAGAAAACATTTAAAAGTGTTATATATTAATCTCTGTTAAAGTTCTTTCTGTATTTCCATCTGTTTCTTGTAGTACTATTCTAGGAGCCTCTACAACTTTGTTTACTTGTCTACTTTTTGAAGCTTTGGGAATCTGTGGCTCTAATTTGAGCAAGGCCACCAGCAAATGGTCTTTTCAGAGAACTCTGTATCTGCCCTCCAAATCTAGCCTGCAAAAACTAGGAATGACAATTCCACTTTTTAACATATAACTATATGCTTTATATCAAGGGCTAAATATTACACTAAAATTAAAATTAACTTTTGAGAAAAAAAAAAACATGATTCCTTAGCAGGCAGTGAGACAAAGACAGGAGTGTGTGCACAATTAGGAAGTGCTCTCATTTCTTAGATTTAACACAAATCAGGCCAGGCATGGTGGCTCATGCCTGTAATCCCGGCACTTTGGCAGGCTGAGGTGGGCAGATCCCTTGAGCCAGTAGTTTGAGACCAGCCTGGGCAACATGGCAAAACTCTGTTCTCCACAAAAGATACAAAAATTAGCCAGCCATAATGGCATGCTCCTTTAGTCACAGCTACTTGGGAGGCTGAGGTGGGAAGATTGCTTTAGTCTGGGAAGTTGAGGCTGCAGTGAGCCAAAATCGTGCCAAAACACTCCAGCCTGGGCAACAAAGCAAGATCCTGTCTCAAAAAATAAAAATAAAAGACAAATTATAATTTTTCCATTTTCCTTATTTGATTTTCTCTGTTTGAAATTAGGTTTGCTCCATTTGGGTTCAACCCTGGTGCCACAAACTTGTGGTTCTTTAGCTGCCAGCATTTGAGGGTGTTTAATTCAATTTGGCTAATTAACGACTCGGCTATAAAATCGAAGAGCTTTCTCTTTCACACTGTTAAGAGAAAAAGCTTCTGGTCTCTATTCAGCTCCTGGCTTCCTCTCTCTGAGTTAAATGGGACGATGGAAGTCAATTTAGCCCTGCCACACCCCACGCCCTTGTTTCCCGGCTCCCTTGGTGAGAACAGAGCACGGAGTGGGAGTGGTATCTTGGGGCAGAGGTTGGGTTTCCTCAGCTGCCACTCTGTTCCTTCCCCCATGTAGCAGTTTTCCTTGACTCACAATCTCCTGGAAGCATTCAAACCCGTTTTAAGTGCCCATCTGAGGCACACTGCAGGCATCAGACGAAGGTCTTAAGTAGGTCACATTTTAAAGTCACCGGTAACCCCAGCATAGTTCCATGACCAACACCCAAACAGTAGTTACTCATTAAAGTCCTGTCTCTGAGCAACAGACTACCTACATCAATTTCACTTTCACAGACTGGATTTTAAGTCATGTTCTTTTAAAATTTATGAGCATTCTTCCTCAGAAATTAACCAATAAAATCAGGTTTTTAACAGTTAAGGTAATGTTTCTCCTTACAGCTTTGCAGAAATTGGTTCTCTGGAGTCCATTTCTCTACTGGTTCAAGAGTCACTGTTTTACTGAGAAAGATCTAGATTATCATGAAGCTAAAATCCACTAACTACTGATAACCAAGACACTGGAACTTTCACATGTTTCTGGTGAGAGTATAAAATGGTACAACCACTTTGGAGAACTTTTTGACAGTTTTTAATAAAATTAACTCACATATAATCCAGCCATTCTACCCCTAGGTAGAGAAATAAAAAAAATACACCCAAAACTTGCACACTGATGTACAGCTTTAGTCATAATAGCCCCAGACTGGAAACAACCAAAGTGTCCATCACAAATTAATGGACAAACAAAATTCCATAAAATGGAGTATTACTTAGCAATAAAAGGGAGTAAATTACTGATCCACAGAACAACATAGATTAATCTCAAAGGCATTACATGAAATAAATCTGAAATAAAGGAGTACATACTGTATGATTCCACTGATGTGAAATCCTAGAACTGTCAAAACTAATCCATGAGGTAGGGATGCATGGGAGCGCTGACTGCAGAGGACCATGAGGGAACTTTATGGAATTATAGAAATGTTCTTTGCATTAATGGAGCTGGTGTTTACAAAGCTGTATACATGTGTCAAGATGCATCCAAATGTACACTTGAAATGGGTGCACTTTTTGTTTGCAAATTATACCTCAGTAAAATTGAAAAGGGAAAAAAGTCTTAAAAGATGCCATGAGCCCAGTAGAATACGTTTTGGAAGTGGCACTACTTTTCATACATTTCTTATCATGGTGAACAGGTTGAGTAAATGATAGGGCTGCAAAGCATAGATTCCAGCAATAAATTTAAATCAATACTGAGGAGTAAATATAGAAGGTAATCCATGACGTTTCATCGCATTGTGTTCCGATAACACAGATGTAGCTAGTTGTCAAATCTTTACAGAATAAGAGACTCCCTAGAAGTGTCCCAAATCTATCAGTCTCATCTTAGATAAAGCATATGTTATTGGTTCATAGAATTTGTGACACAGTGCCCAAAGCAAGCCCCTGGAAAGAACATTTTGTTTTCTAATACATCATTTTTGTTCTTATTAGGAACACCAAGTCTCTTTATTATACATATGAGCTAAATTATTTATCTTTGGTTAATTTGGGGAAGGGGATCTTAAATGATAAAGTTAAACTCAAGCAAAGAACTCTGTGCTGAATTGTAGTACTAATAGCAGTTTGGGGGAATTAGAAGCTCTGGGTTCAAATCCCAGGTATGTCTCTTACAAGCTATGTGACACAAGGCAAATTACTTAATTTCTCCAAGCCTTAGTTTACATACTTATAAAATGGGAACACAGCACACAGCCGTAGGGTCGAATAAGGATTAAATGAGATGATATTTATGATGCATGCAGTATTATTTGTGGCCTAGAGTAGGAAACTTACTTCTTTGCATCCAAATGGTTCGGAAACAATGGGGACTTATTAACAGGAAAACTATGAAGAGGAAAGACAGAGAGCAACAATGATTTTTTTTTTTCTGATTAAAGAAAGGCTCAGTAGATTTCAAATACACAAACAGCACATTTTCGTATAACTTTTCCCCTTAAAAACCAATATCTATGCTATCTGAGGAGAGACAGATCAAAAGTAAGGAACTTGGAAGGGCATTTGCCTGCTAATTTGCTCCCTGACAGACTTCTCTTGACAGAGATCAAAAGCTGAAAGGAAACCGCCTGCTAAAGCTTTTGATAGATAACGGTCCAGAGACTCTGTAGGATTCTCATTTTTTCTCTACATATAAGGCTTCCACCTGTCTGAAGTGGAAGTTTTCTTCTCAAGTGTGAAGATATGATCAAGCTTATATTAATTGCCAATAGACAAATCTAATGTCCAATAAAAAGTTACCTGTAAGTACTTATGGTTGTGTTTCTTTAAATCATGCCTCATATCAACGATTTACGTGGAGTAATATAATATTAATTGATGATTCTGTTCAGCACTTTTAGTGAGAAATTTTCCACCAAAAACTTAACCAAATAGGAAAGTCCACAACATTCTGTTTGTTCAATTCACGTTAGAGTGGCAGGTGGAAAGACCGTGAGGTCATACCTGACCTACCACAGTTCAACTAGTTGAAGTGCACTAACTGCAGGCCAAATATCCAGGAGAGGAATAAACCACCACCTGGGGATTAGCAGTCTTGTCAAAAGAAACTTGAATGTAAATGGACAGAAATCTGAACAGAAGGGCAATTTAGTTAGCTTCAGTATAGCCAGCTCAGCTGCTTGGAGTAGGGGTCAGCACACTTTTTCTGAAAGTGGCCAGGCAATAAATATTTTTAGCTTTGCAGGCTGCATCATCTCTTTTGCAACTACTTTACACTGCCATTTTTGAGAGAAAGCAGCCACAGACACTACATAAACAAATGTACACAGCTATGTTCCAATAAAACTTTATTTATGGACACTGAAATTTGAATTTCCTAGCATTTCCATATGTCACAAATTCTTTTGTTTTTTGTCCAACTATTTAAAAGTGTAAAAAACATTCTTTGCTTGCAGACCATACATAAATAGGTGGTTGACTCGATCTGGTTATACAAAAACAAGTGGTTGAGTTGAGAGCATCATTCTCATAAGAAGGTGTTTGTCCAAAGGGCTGTTTGTCTTTCCTTTCAGAACACCTTGTGCTATGGTTTATACTTCTCAACCTAGGTACGTATCTTTCAAATATGAACCCCTGATAGCAAATATTTATGCTTTTCCCTGGCCTTAATGTATTGCTTGTGTTGCCTCATTTACTTCACGTTACAACCCAAGAAGGTAGTACCATTATTAATCTCCATTTTCAGGTGACCAAACTAAGGTTCACAGATATTAAATAGCTTGACTACTGTTACACGGCTAGGAAGACACAGAGCTGGAATTTGAATTATGTCTCTTGCTGTCCAGAATTCTGTCTCTTTCTGAAGGTACTAGAGTGCGAATGGCTGACTCAGTGTGACCATTAACTGCTTTACGAAGCACAATTCACAGCCCTTGGCAGATGCATTGGTTTATCTCCATTCGCAAAGAAAGGTCACCTGCCTTTCCTGGCTGTTGCTTTTCACTGAAGCTCAGCAAGTCATTCAGAAACTCTCTGCTTAACCATAACATCAAGGGTAAAATTTCCAGGAGTCTTTGGCAATTTCAATACTGCAAAACCCTTTCAAAAAGCACTTGCCTTGTCAAGATGTGGCTGTTAGAAAAGAATTTCCCCATTCTCCCAGAGAAAAAAATCTGTAGAGTTTAATACAGTTTGTACACAGGCAGCTCTCACTTGGAGCTAATTTTTCTTCCAGAACTTTAAATTTGCAATAAGTACATGCAATTGGACTGGAGTGGCAGAAAGCTTATAAATCATATCACATCATTGTCTGGCTTTAAATCCCTCCAGGGGCTTTGTTCCACACTTAAAATGAAATCTCAGTTTCTTACAATAACCTGCCAGGTCCTACATAACCAAGCCATTGCTTGCTTGTCTAATGTCATTTATCCTACTCTCTCCCCCTGCTTTCTACTCTCCAGTCACACCAGCCAGTTTTCCTTTGCACATGCTGCGCCTCTGCACATGCTATGCCCTGTCCCTGGAACGCTTTTCCTCCAATCTTTACATATTGATTCCTTCTCATCTTTCAGTTCTCATCTCCTGTATCTACTCCTCAGAGTGGTCATTCCTAAATATTCATTTATTATCATGTCCTGCCTCACCAACCCCAGTCTCTGCCTAAACCCAATACCTTGTTTTATTTTCTTCATAGCACGTACCACTATTTGAAATAATATTATCCATTCATACATTTGTTTACTTGCTTGTTCATCACTTTCCACCCACATGCCAGATCCAAGAGAACGGAGCCCTTGGCTTGTCTTTTTCACCCCTCTATCTCTAGGGCCAACTGCAGGTACTAGGTAAGTGTTCATGGAATGAAAAATAAATGACTATTCTGGAGAATGAAAGCACCAGGCCTTACCTTCTTGTGACATTATTGACTAATTGTAGGCTTTGCTCAGGCCTTGGTTGCAGCAGACAGATGAGAAAGTGTCGAGGTCTTCTTGGTCAATGGATGGCAACTCAGATTTATTCTGCTTTCCTGTCGAAGTCCCAAACTCATTATTAATGTGCAACCAGTTGACAAGTTTTAGTTTCCTCAAATATGTCTATGGCAAAACATTGGACAATATATTGCACAATAAGCTATTGATTTATAAGCCCCCAGCAGACACACATATTATTCTGAATGCATAATTACATTGCAGGCAGCACATTTTTCACCTGAGATATGGCACATTTAGATAAAAACTAAGTCTGCTCAACTATGTGCCTTGTCTAAATCTGGATATGGAGAATGCATACAAAATTAGCATTCCATTAAAAATGAGTAAAATGTGAGACATGGCTAAAAAGAGGTGCCTGCATCATCTGGAGTGTCAGAAAGGCAAAGGCACAGTGTTGAAGCTCTGGCTTTCTTAGAGCATCAAGGTACTATGTCAAAACTATTGAAATCCTAAGCTTCAATTGACTTTTCAGGAGTAACAAGACACAAACTATTTGTTTATTGAGGGCCCCTAACGATCTAGTAATTAAGAGAAGAGTCTTTTAAGTCAGAGAGTACCAGGCTAATATCCAGTTCTGACATTTAATAGCTGTGTAACTTTGGTCAGATCCCTTAACCTCTCTTAAGACTCAGTTTGCTCAACTGCAAAAAGGGGACAGCAATAGTGTTCTACCTCCTAGAATTAAATAAGATAATGCATAGAAAGCATGCTACCAGCACAGAGTAAGTACTTAAGTCATATTGAATATCAATAACTTTGCACTTGGTATACCCTCAAAGTAGCTAAATTCACCTACTATAGCAATAAAAGAACATTCAAATGAAAGTTAGACCTGGCTTCAAGTCCTCTTTTTGTTGGTTCATATGTTTACTTGGGCAGATTACTTACCACCTGTGGCATTGAAGACAAAATTCATTTAGTCTATGAAATCAGTCTACAAACAAGTATTTCCTGAGCATCTATGCCTACAAAACCAAACGTTTTGTAAGATTACTCAGTCTATTGCCCCCTATGTACAGAGAAGAGTAATGCTCCACCCTGCTTTGTGCAGTGAGGTATATAAAGAGGCATAACATTTGTTCTTACTGTCAATGAAAGTATAATGCAGCTCAGAACATGGGTTCCAAGGGTCAAACACATGAAATAGTCACCATGATGAGAGAATATAGAAACAACAAATGCCCTGATGCACAATGATATGCTGTACATAGTCAGAAAGGAGGGAAACTGATGAAACCTGGACTAGTCTTACTTTTTGTAGGGAGGGCTTACTTTTTGTAGGCAGCAACACTTATGACTTCAAAGGTGTAGGATTTGGGTTGAAGGAGGAGAAAGTATATTACATTTGGGAAAAAGGGAATGTTATTAATACCATTAGCAAAACTTTGAAATGCATTTAGCCTCGAGAGTGACAGATAATACAGGATATGGCCAAGTCTTGAACAATGCAAATAATAATAATAGTAAGTATCATTTTTATTACAGTTCAACTCAATGCCTGCACCTATTGCAAATAAGATAAAAAACAAAATATTTGCCAGATACTCACTAAGCATTATCTTACTAGCATTATCTCATGTAATGCTTTCGACAACTAGATTCCTCAGGACTTGTTAGGTTGTTATTGGCAGACATTCAATACAAACTAGCTTAAGCATAAAGGGAAATGTATTGACTCTCATAACTGAGAAACACAGGAGAGCAGGTGACTTTGTGTCTAGCTGTATGAAAGTACTCAGACAAAGTCTTCACGACTCTGTCTTCATTTCTACCTCAGGCAAACTTTCTCTGTGAAGTGGGAAACATGACCTCCTGCAGTTCTAAGCTCACCTCCTACCAATGTAGCAGCCTTGGTGGAGAGAAATAGCCTTCATGCATCCCCAGGAGAAAGGTTCCAGGAAGGATTCTGATTGGCCCAAGTTGAGTCCCATCCCCATCCCTGAGTCAATCACTGAGGCCAGGGAAATGGGATACAATGATTGGTCAAATCTGAGTCACATGCCACCCATGTGAATGAGGGCAATTTGGGTGGGCCCATTTGGATCACACTAAGTTCTCCATAGAAAATGGGAACATTATTAGGACGACAGGATGAAAAAGAGGTTCTAAGAAGGCGAAAAACAACAGATGTCACAGCAGATGCCACGGCATTGATGTTGACAAATTGTTATTAAGCCTATTTTGCCAACGGGGAAAGTAAGGCTCAAAAAGATTAAATAGCCTTGTCCGAGATCACGTAGGTATAGAAGCAATGAAGTCAGAATCAAACCTAGGTCTCTCTGTCTCCAGAACCTGTGCTTGTAACCACTATACCCAGTTATGGCTACAGTACCCAGTGTTTACTTCGCAGAACTATGGTATCCCATTCTTAATATTTTAGGAACTTGAAATAGATTTCATTATGTACTAGACCTCTGTCATTATTTTTCACTTTTTTATCTGAACTTGTTTCTTATGTTCAGAGAATTTGCTAAACATAGAGCTCATCTCTCACTAGAGTTGCTGAAGATGCCAGAAAGTTCATTTTCTGGCTATGGCTACAACTAGAGCACAAACATATGAGCTAAGCTCTAACATACACTCAACGATACTTTGAATAGGAGCTAGTGAAGATGAATGAAGAGCCCAGTGAGACTCCTGTCTGGCAGTAGAGGGGATTGTAGCAAGGTTATGTTCTAAGGGCTCTAGGAACAATTGCTAGCAGTGGGCTCACTAGCCAGTGACTGGGGCTGCATGTCCAGTAAGCTGGAGCTCCCAGGGCTCAGTTGTGGCTCCAACGGGGACATTCACAGACCTGCTGTGTGGATTGGATTCTGCTCCTAAGTAGCTGCTGAGTCTGTTGTTGAGTGTTCCTAGTGATTCAGCAGCTACCCGTCATCCTTCTATTGAACAATTTTCTGCTTAAAACAGCCAGAGTTGATTTATCTTGCTGGTATATCAGAATCCTGTCTCACATACATCCAGAGAGAGTAGCTTGGCATCTTATTCTCTCCTCTGGTGTCAAAAGACTAGATCCTTCTTGAATGGAATTATTTATATTGTCTTAGTAGCTTCTTCTACCTCTCCTTTTTCCTCTTCTGTTCTCCTAGCGTTTTCTAGAGACCTTTGCTATTCTAGGATAAAGTTTTGTGTCTTCAGAGGCACTGCTGCTTTCCTCCCATCTGTTCTGGTCACTTCCATTTCTTGTGAGATCACCTGCTTTGTTTAATTTCTTCCCTGCTTCCCTGTCTTCTGGGAGTACCTATTCTCTTCCATGCTTCCAACCCTTTCATTCTAGGTTAAAATATCTTTTAAAAATTGTAATTAAAAATAACTTTGAATCTGACCTTCTCAAGTTCAAGTACAAGCCCACAGGTACAGCAAGAACAGAGCTGGCCGTGAACAACTTTATGACCTCAACCCCAAGCTCATTATAAAGAACATTCTTGGATCAGCAGCTGTCCTCCCTAGAGAACTGAAATGGATGCTCTTTTAGATAAAGGTTTGCTCCCAATAAATATGGAAGCTTTGGGGCCAAAATGGATGCTCTTTTAGATAAAGGTTTACTCCCAATAAATATGGAAGCTTTGGGGCCAAAGCCTCTGAGAGAAGCTTGCGGTGACCTGGCCAACTTTGTAATGGACTTGACCTGAAACAGTGTGATTATTTGCTATTTCCTGAAATAAGCACTACTCAGCTTTGGGGAGCTGCTTCAGGCAATGTAAGCCAGCCTGAGAAGGCAGGGCACAGCTGTTTTTAAGAGGAGATTTTGGGGTGCATCAGTGCCTCACCCTCACCACTGAGTATATACCCTTTAGCTTGGATGATCTAAAAACCAAGCTCAGTTGGGACGCTTTAGCACAATTTAATACTTTAAAAAAAAAAGAAGATGAAAAGTTGTCCAGAAGGGAATATTGAGCTCAAGGCATTTAAAGAAATTATTCTTTGTGGATGCAGATCACTATCTCAGCCTCCACAATTCATTTAATGAAATGAGATTAGCATTTCAATATAATACTTCTTGTTTTCTTCTCCTGCTTCACTTCTACTCTATTTTCTCTGAACAAAAAGGAGCGAACAAGGTGCAGAAAATAGAAAACTTAAACAGTAACCTTATGCTATTGAATGGAGAGAAGCATTCTCTAGTTCTTGCAAATGAGGCCTGCAGACATTATCCAGACAATTAGCTTCCTCTTCCTGCTGTTTGCAATGGAATAAAAGATTCTGCAGGCTCACAACCAACAGAAGGACCTAACATTGCAAGCCAGACATCTGAGATATGCACCTTTTCCAGAAACAGTGAGGACCTAGCATGGATCATGCACAGTGCTTGATACTGGGATTACAAAGTGGAATACATTTATCTCTGACTTGAAGGACCTCCCAGTGAAGAAAACAGGAAGTACATTTGGGATTAATTTAATAGTAATTTTAATAACGTCCACTTATTGAGCACTCATCATATGCAAGTGACTTTGCTAAATAATTTGCATCATCTCATTTAATACTGTCAAAAGACCTATAGTACATAACCTATTATTATCTCCATCTTAAAGCTAAAAAAACTGAGGCCCTCAAAAGATAAGACTCATGTCTCCAGGCATGCAGCTGGTGTATTAAGGAGTCCGATTTCTAATCTAGGTAGGTCTAAGAGCAAAGTCTGGATCCTGTCTGGTAAACTCCTGTTGGATATGTAAAACTGGATTTGGCTCTATAGATTAATGAAAGGTGGTTGTCTTCTGTCTGTGGGTTTATATTCTGGTAGAGAGGAAGAAAGTAAGAATGTAAAAAGCTGTAACACACAGTAAAACTTAGTGTCTTATGATTGTGCACAGTAACGAGGTATAAAACTTCAAAGAGAGAGAGAATTACTGAGAAAATGACATCTGAAATGTCTTGAGTGATAGAGATGGTTCTTCAGACAGAGACAGGTGTTTGACAACACCAAAAATTCAGATTCCTACCTAGAAGTGACTTTAAAGCAAGCCAGATTATAAAATGTTCACCACTCTTTCTCCCCACTTCCTGAGGTCATAGTGACATTGTACATCGTGCTGTTAAAACTAGGAGACTTAAGGATAGGATCAGGCAGACTTTGAGCAGAAAATGCATGCTCCAGTACTATGCAAAATGAGGCAATAACAAGTAGGTTATTCTAAAACAAAAACAAAACAAAACTCTTTTTGTCTTTACTCCTAAGTATGACTCTGGAAATCTAACTTATGGCAGATCGTTGCATTAGGGAGCCATTATGTCATTTAGCAGGCATGGGTGTTCCCCCATCTGTCAAGTCCATTCCTACTCAATAAGCTATTAGATCGCTGATGCAACATGAGGACTCTCCCAGACTTGCCAGGAAGTTCACCTGCAGATGCCTGCACTCTGCGTCTGAATAAGCCGCTGCAATAATTCATCTTTCCTATTTGGAAATTCAGAGTAATTGTGGTCTTTGCATAAGATTTAATTTATAGACACTAAGGAATTGAGAATACAATCTTGTAACTCTTTAGATTTCTCTCTACTACCACCTCCAACAATGTGGATTTGTTGAAAACCAAATGTTAATAGTCACAATTCCACTGTCACTTAAACATGTGACTATTTATTGCTGTTAAATACAATTATAATTATTATAGCAAGAATTCCATCTGCATCAGCAGGAATGAGCAAGTGCTTGGCTATGGGCAGTCAGTTTCTCCTTTCTTCTTACCACTTGCTGCATAGTCCAGAATAGGTCTCATATTTGGATGTGGGATGCAGGTGTCAAAATAGAATTCAGAGGTTGGAGTTCTGATGATTAGCTGATGCACTCATGTAAGTTCCCTGTTGTGGGTGACTCCAAAAGGTTCTTCATTTGAGTCAGACTTATGATTTCTTCAGAATGGTCTTTTGAAAATTACTTTTTGATTAGTCTAGGCATGATACATAATTGCTTCTCCAAAACCAAAAAGGGAGGGTGTGGTCTTTGGGCAGCAGGGAAAAACTTGAGTTTGGCTGCAGCCTTTTCTTGTTTTGATCAATGTCACAAGACTATGCAGGATGAAATTAGTTAGGGTTACCAAAAAATTAGACAGTCTTGCAGGGGAAAATGCATCCCTGTATTCTGCCTTTTGCTGAGATATTTCCCTTGTAAAGTTTTGGATGGGCAGTCAGAGCCATTTGCCTAGAAACAAAGGTAGAGAGGATGTGCCAGTCCAGCTCATGGCATTTACCATGGCAATGCCATGCTCAGGTATGGACATGTGGTCACAGTAAGTGTTGAAGGCAGGCCTTGAGGACTTTGCATTTAGAAAAGTAACAAATAGCTGCCTTTAAAGCAAATTTCCCCAGAGTTACACAGGTTACCTTGTACTTGGATGAAGACATATGCTTAGAACCTGCTCAAGGAATTCCCTGTGCATCCAACAAATAAAATAATAAATAAATGTTTGCCTTTCACAGCCCTATTACCCACTCACTCCTCATCCTTGGAAGGCTCTTCAGAATAAAGGACCCTGAGTGTATCAGATTTTAATGGAATATTTCAACCAACCAACCAACAAGTCTAATAGCAGCCAGTCAATAAGGAACAAACCAAGCACAGATTCATCAAAGCCACTGTTTTTCTTCCTAATTAGTACTCATAATCACTGTGCTGGGTGTTTTTTCCTCCAAATTCATCAAGGTCTGATTTAATTGTCAAAAACAATCTGAAGAGAAAATTATCACTGTGAGGCGTTCCAGGCATCCTGGCTATAGGCAGGATGATGAGGCTCACCTTCCTCTTCAGGAGAGGGTGATGGAAGCTTCTGACCATTTTTGGAATTTTTTGGATAACTCTTATGGTCTAGGTTTCCAAGTCATAAACTTGAGGGAAGGGTTGTGAGAGGCCATTCATTTTCCTTTCTAATAAGTACATGGTTCAGTTATTTCCCAATTACAGCTGCAGCATGTTGGATAACAAACACTAACTGGCATTGCTAGCTGAGGTTTTTCAAAGACTACCTCTTTTGTGAGGGCTTCTGGTGACATACAGTCACCTCTAATGAACAGATGTTTGAATGTTTAATTGCAAGTGTGTAAATTAGTCACTTGACATGATGTATAGAGCGTTATGGATGAACACCTTATCTCTGGGTGATATGGTTTTGTTATGTCCCCACCCAAATCCCATCTTGAATTGTAGGTTCTGTAATCGCTATGTGTCATGGGAGAGACCCAGTGGGAAGTAACTAAATCATGGGGGCTGTTACTTCCATACTTCTCTTCTCATGATAGTGAGTGAGTTCTCACGAGATCTGATGGTTTTACAAGGGTCTTTTTCCCCTTTTACTCAGCACTTCTCCTTGTGCCACCATGTGAAGAAGGACATGTTTACTTCCCCTTCTGCCATGATTGCAAGTTTCCTGAGGTCTCCCCAGCCATGCCAAACTGTGAGTCAATTAAATCACTTTCCTTTATAAATTACCCAGTCTCAGGTATGTCTTTATTAGTAGCATGAGAATAGACTTATACACTGGGAAAATGGAAAACTTACTAAGATGCAGTTTTTGTCTCTAAACATTCTTAAATTAGTCCACTCCTCCCCATCACCACTGCTGCCCCCTGGTCCTAGGTACTTAGGTCTCCCTTGCCAGATGGGGTACAGAATCTTCTCACTTCTCTCTGCTTTCATTCCCACTGCCTCCCTGCTCCTCAATCTAATCTTCATTCTGCATCCTTTACAACCTAAATATGATTGTGTCTTTCTTCTGCTTAAAGCCTTCTGTGGCTTTCTGTTGCATCTAGGATAAAAGACCAAGTCCTCATAGCCTAAAAGGCCCTAAATGATATGCCCCCTGTGACTTCTCTAACCTTATACTAGTTCCCTAACTTCCCTGTACCCCTTAGCAAAAAGGTTATGTATACACACACATACATGCACACACATTGCATGCACACACACACGCACACACACATACTGTCCAGCTCTAGCCACAGGTAATGAGGGAAGGGAGGACAGGGAGGACCAGAAAGAGCTTTAAGTTAAGCTCATTTCTCTGTGTCTAATGCTCTCCTTGACATTTTTTTTTCTTAAAGCAAAAGTGCATAGAATTAGATTAATCATAATCCTTGGCTTATGAGACACTTTTTACACTGGAACTAGTTTGGAAATAAGAATGTGAACAACTTACATCTACTCTTGAGATTCTCCAGTATTTTGACCTCCTGCTTCCCTCCATCCAAAAGAAACTCCATCAAAATCCTGAGTTGATCTTTCTCCTCCCTCCCTCCCTTCCTGCCTCTCTTCCTGTCTTTCTCCATCCCTTCCTATCTACCTTTCTTTCTTTCCTTTCTTTTCTTTCTTCTTTCTTTCTTTCTTTCTTTCTTTCTTTCTTTCTTTCTTTCTTTCTTTCTTTCTTTATTTTTTCTTTCCTCTCTCTCTCTCTTTCTTGCTCTCTCTCACACATACCTCTATGTATTCCTAAAATGTATATTATTTAATTGAAATTTCTTTTATTTATAAAAATGGTATCATACTATTTATAATCTTTTAGGGCTTTTTCATTCAATGTCATATTGCTAAGATTCACGCAACTGGGCTGTTTCCGGGTTCTTGATGTTATGAGTGGTGCCACTGTGAACATTCTTATACAGGTTTCCTGCTGTACAAGCTTACTCTTTGGTAGATGTCTTAGGAGGCAAATTGTCCTGAGTTGTAGGATATGTGATAACTTTATAATGTCAATATAATGGATGTTATCCAAAGTTACTCTACCAATTTATACTCCAGAGCAATGTACAAGAAATCTCATGGTTCCACACTTTCTCCAGTGGCACAAAGGAACAAGTTCAACGATGCTAAGTATTTTTGATTAGTGCTGCTGCAATGGTGTAAATTGGTATCTTATTGTGATCTTGGTCTGCATTTCCCTGATTGCCAATGAGAATGAATTCTTCCCACTCTTCACTATGTCAAGTCCTATTCAGATGTCAGGCCCCAGCTTAAATGCCTTTCCTCATATTGGTCATATATAGATGTTTTTGCTCAATTAAATCAATCCTCTAAACTTTCTCCACTCTAAACATCTGTGGACAATTTTGTTGCAATGAAAATATTTCAACATTATTGTCTTTCCAGGAAAAGTCCCCTTTATACTTTAGATATCCCTAAATGTACGATGAATAAGTAGCATAAAATGATGGAGCCAAATAGTTTTAAAAATGGGAGAACCCTTAGAAATTGTCTAATCAAATCTCCTTTATTAATTTGAAGATGATATAAACTCAGTTCAACTGCCTTTAGGAAAAAGGAAAAAAGCATTCATCATCCAATGTAACTGGAATTTCCTGAGGCTAATATTCAGGTCTGGGTGAATTAAGCCATTTTTCAAAGTTCCTGGGGCTCTGTCTCTAATCCGATTACTTGGCTTTGCTTTTCTTTGTCATTGTTCTCCCCTATTGCAGATGGCTTTTTCCATGCTGCCAGGGAGGTGGTGCTGGCACCCTCAACTTCACACATGTCAATTTCTCAACCCCAGAAGATAGAGGAGAACTCTCATTATCTGCATAACAATGCTGAAAATAATAATAGTAAGGAAATAATATAGCTAACATTTATTGAGTGTTTACTTTGTGCTCCTTGCTTCATATAGGCATACTTTGGAGATATTGTGCGTTTGATTCCGGACCACTGTCATAAAGTGAATATCACTAATAAAATAAGTCACGTGAAAGTTTTGGTTTCCCAGCACACACAAAAGTTATGTTTATAATCTAGTGTAGTCGTTAAGTATACAATAGCATTATGTCTGAAAAAATAACATATGTATCTTAATCTAAAAATACTTCATGCTAAAAATTGCTGACAATTATTGGCCTTTGGGGAGTCGTATGTAATCTTTTTTGCTGGTGGAGGGTTTTGCCATGTTGATGGCTGTCCTCTGATCAAGATGATAATTGCTGAAGGTTGGGGTGGCTGTGGGCAATTTCATAAAATAAGACAACAGTAAAGATTGCTGTACTAAGGACCCTTCCTTTTGGGAAAGACCACTGTAGCGTGTGCTGCAATTTGATAGCATTTTACCCACAGTAGAATTTCTTTCAAAATTGGAGTCAATCCTCTTAAACTGTGCCACTGCTTTATCAACTAAGTTTATGGAATATTCCAAACCCTTTGTTGTCATTTCAACTGTGTTCACAGCATCTTCACCAGGAATAGCTTTCATCTCAAGAAACCATTTTCTTTGCTCACCCATAAGAAGCAATTCCTCATCCATTGAAGTTTTATCAAAAGATTGCAGCAATTCTGTCACATCTTTGGACTCCACTTCTAATTCTAGCTCTCCTGCTATTTCCACCACATCTTCCTTGACTTTCTACATTAAAATCTTCAAAGTTGCCTGTGAGGATTGGAATCAACTTCTTCCAAACCTTGTTAATGTGGATATTTTTACTTCCTCCCATGATCATGAATGTTTTTAATGGCATCTAGAATGGTGAATGCTTTCCAGAAGGTTTCAATTTACTTTGCTCATATCAATCAGAAGAATCACTATCTATGAAAGCAATAGTCTTATGAAATGTATTTCTTAAATAATAAGACTCGGAAGTTGAAACTATTTGTTGATCCATGGGCTGCAGAATTAATGTTGTATTAACAGGCATGAGAACAACACTAATCTCCTTGCACATCTACATCACAGCTTTTGAGTGACCAGGTGTCAATGTCAATGACAGTAATATTTTGAAAGGAATATTTTCTGAAGTTGTAGGCCTCAAAATATTCAGTAAACCATGCTATAAATAGATGTACTGTGTAGGGCAAAGGCACAGTAGATGTAGCATCATTCTTAAGGACCCTAGGATTTTTGGACTGGCCAATGAGCGTTGGCTTCAACCTAAAGTCATCGGCACACTAGCCCCTAACAAGAGAGTCAGCCTGTCCTTTGAAGCTTCAAAACCAGGCATCGACTTCTCTCTAGCTGTGAAAATCCTAGATAGCATCTTCTTCCGACAGAAGGCTGTTTTGTCTACATTGAAAAGCCATTGTTTAGGGTAGTCACCGTCATCAATTACCTTAGCTAGATCTTCAGGATAACTTGCTGCAGCTTCTACATCAGCACTTGCTGCTTTGCCTTGTACTTTGTTATGGTGATGGTTTCTTTTCATAAACCAACCTGTCTAATTTCAACTTTTCTTCTGAAGCTTCCTCACCTCTTTCAGAGTACATAGAATTCCAGAGGGTCAAGTTTTGGCTTAAAAATGCTGTGGCTGGTTTGATCTTCTATCTAGGCCACTAACATGTTTTCCACATGAAAAATGAGTCTGTTTTACTTTGTTGTCATTCCTGTGTTCCCTGGAGTAGCACTTTTAATTTCCTTCAAGAACTTTTTCATTGCATTCAAAACTTGGCTATTTGGTATGAAGGGGCCTAGCTTTCAGCCTACCTGGGCTTTTGACATGCCTTCCTCACTAAGCTTAATTCTTTCTAGCTATTGATTTAAAGTGACAGATGTCCAACTCTTCCTTTCACTTGAATACTTAGAGGCCACTGTAGGATTATCAGTTGGCCTAATTTCAATATTATTGGGTTTCGGGGTCTAGGGAGGCCCAAGGAGGGGGAGAGAGGTGGGGAATGGCTGGTTAGCGGAGCACTCAGAACACATATGACATTGATTATCTTTGCCACCTTACATGGGTACAGTTTGTGGCACCTCACAACAACTACAGTAGTAACAACAAAGATTGCTGACCACAGGTTGCCATAACAGATACAATTATAATGAAAAAGTTTGAAATATTGTGAGAATTACCAAAATGTGACACTCAGATGCAAAGTGAGCCCAGCTTGTAGGAGAAATAGTCCCGATAAACTTGCTTGATGCAGGGTTGCCACAAACTATCGGTTTATTTGAAAATATGCTATCTGTGAAGCACAATAAAACAAGGTATGCCTGTACTTAATCTTGAATTCTGTTACACAATTCTATGAGAAAGGCATTATAATTATCTATTCTTAAAACACTGAGGAGGAGTTATGTAAAGCTGTCCAAGTTCACAAAGCCAGCAAGTGGCAGAGCAAGACTTAGAAACCAGGCAAGTCTCTCTGGTTCTCCTAGGGTCATTTTCCTTTAATTCTTCCCTGGCCAGGGAGTGGGGAACTGTGAATGACATAATCATTTCCTCCTGTGCACCCCCCAGGCCAAGGCTGTGCATTGTGGGAAACCTTTAGGGTCCAGAGCAGGGAAAGAATTTTCCAAAATAAAAGGGAGGATATTACCAAAATAAAGAGGATAAGAGTGAATTCTGAAAAGACAAAAGAACAATAAACACCATAGCCCACTACATCTGTTATGTGACAGATGAGGAAATGGATTCTGAAGAGGGACATGTGTTTTTCCAAGTTAAGAGTGATGGGATGTTATAGTCCAGACACAAACCTGGGCATCCTGACTCTCTATGCTTACTTTCCCCTCTGGGCCCCAGCTGCCTTGCAAAAGAGAAGAGCATTGTATTTCTGGGGCTGTGAATGAGGGAGAGAGAGAGAATGAGAGAGAGAATTCTTCCAACCTGCAAGCTCTCTGTACAAAACCCTCAGTCCATCAGCTGAGTGTGCTGGTCTGAATTAACCATGAAGGGCCTCCAGTACACAATTTGAAGAGGCTATTTCCTGGCCCCAATCCTAAAGTGTCTGTAAAAGCATTAATGATTTCCCACTGCTTCCATGGTGACAGCGAGAGAGGGCTGACTATCAAGTGCTCATGTGGAAATGGCCCATGGCTCAGGCCCTGTATGCCTGAATAGATACCTGATGCATTGCTGCTCCTGTCACCTACCATTTTAGATGGGCCCATGCTTCCAAGCATCAAACTAGATTGAATTTCCATAAAAAAGAATTATTCTTCTGTGGCTTGTCAGAAGCCTGCTGAAGTTAGCAGCAAATGTAATCTGCTCTATAAATGAGAATTTCCCTTTGATACATGTGGTAGTTGATGAAGACAATGATTCACTTCGAGTGTCCCCATCTCTCCATATCACTCCCTTCTTCCCACCTCTGCATTCATTTTACTTGCTACTAAGGCAACCCTGTTTGATTTAGATTAGAATGATTTTAGAAGGTTCTAGTACCCCTTTTTATGCTGGGTCTGAGAATGCCAAGACACCACCATTTCCCCCATAACTTAGTTCCACAGTTGATTTTTGCTAATTCTCTATCAGCAAAGAGCCCTTTTCTGACATTCCCCTGGGCTCAGAGAATCCTGTCTTGGAAGGAGCACGGGCATATTTGTCTGCAGTGAGGTGAAAAGGGGAGGCCTGGCTGGAAAGCCAGGTGATCTAATTTCTAATACTGGTGCTGCCTCTGCTGTTTTTATTATTTTTACTCTCTGAGCTCTGATCTTCATCTATACAGCAGAGACCTCAACCCCTGTTCAGCACAAAGAACATAAGAGGTGGGTATCAAGGCACACAGAAAGGATAGGTTTGTCAATTGTATGTGTCAGACTGGCCTTAGGAATTTATGCAATGCCATACTCCTCTCGGTTTGAGCCAAGAAAAAATTTCCAAAGGACAAAACTTGCAAATATTTTGGTTTGAGGGTTGGGTTCCATGCAATGCTCTCTGGATAATCTACATTATATTGTTATGCTATGGTTTAAATGTACATGTCCCTCCAAAATGCAAGTGTTGGAACTGAAACCTGAAGGCAATGGTGTTAAGTGGTAGGGCTTCTGGGAAGTGATTAGGCCGAAAGGTCTCTGTGCTTATGAATTGGATTAATGCCCTTATTAAAAAGGCTTCAGAAAACTGCATAATCCCTTTCATCTTTTCTCCTATGTGAGGACACGGTATACATTTCCTCAAGAGGATCTAGTGACAAGGCACCATCTTGGAAGCAGAGAATAGCCCTCACTAGACTTTGAACATGCCAATGCCTTGATCTTGGACTTCCCAGCCTCCAGAACTGTGAGGAAGAAATTTCTACTGTTTGTAAATTACAAGTCTCAGGTATTTTGTTATAGCAACACAAATGGACTAAGACATATTATATTCCTCCAGACACAACCTCCAAGGGGAAAGCTTTATGACACCAACTGCCTCAAACACTAATGTTCATTATACCATTTTGAAATTAGGCATTATTTAGCAGAATTAACTCCCTTTCCTTATTAACATCCAATTCCTTGTGAAAACATCCAGTGAAAAGATTTATTGCTTTGGGTATCTTGTGGGAAGTTTTATTCTGAAAGTTCAGAGTTGAAGCAGATTCTGACAAAATCACCACGCAGATTTTGAGTAAGAACTCTACTTGTTGTAAAACAGTTTTCAATATGAATAAATCCATATTCTGTAAAGGAGAACAACATTGTTATAAACTGTAGCTTTATTTTATATGGCAGTACTCATATGAGAGCCTGCCCACAGACATGTTTACTAGGCTGCTGTATTGACTTGACATTGATTCACCCAGCATCAAATATCTTCTGAGCACCTCTGTGCGTCAGAACCTGTGCTAGGATCCTGGCCTATAACATTGAACAAGACAGGGTTCCTATTCATTTGCAGCTATGGTTGGATGAGTAATGGGTTCCCAAAGATGTCTGCATCCTAATGCCTAGAATTTGTGAATGTTACCTTATGTAGCAAAAGGGACTTTGCTGGTGTAACTACGTTAAGAGACAAGGGAGCCATCCTGTATTACCCAGTGGGCCTGATGTAATACAAGGGTCCTTATAAGAGAGATGCAAAAGGTAAGAGTCATTAGTAAGAGAAATGACAATGGAAGCAAAGATATTAGAATGATTTGAGGAAGAGGTCATGACCGAAGTGATGTAGATGGCTCCTAAAAGCTGAAAAAGGCAAGGAATTGGATTCTTCCCGGAAGTGCCCAGAAGGAACACAGGCCTGTTGATTTTAGACTTCTGACCTCCAGAACTGTAAATAATACATTTGTGTTGTTTTAAGCCGCTAAGTTTGTGGTAATTTGTCATAGCAGCAATAGGAAACTAATACAGAAGGTTACATTCAAAATGGGGGCAACACATAATAGGAAAGTCAATCAGTATTTTTCAGCATTTTGTGGGGGGATGGTTCTCCATGTGCACATCCACCCAGACATCACGGTCACGCAGCCGCATCCATTAACTGTCATCCTGGCAGCCAGTGGATGAGGCTAAGTGATACTAAACGTCAATCAAAGCTGTCCACACACATTTCCAAACCTCCCCTAAGGTGACACTGTTGCCTTTGGCTGAGAACCACTGACTTGGATTGTGTAGAGTTGAAAGAAGACTGAAATGAAGCAACATAGCACAGAGAGACTGGAGTCCTGGGGCTATTGTACACTGTGACCAAAGAAAGCCCTGCCAAAGAGGTGATATCTGAGTTGAGACTGGAGGAGGGAATGGAAGCAGGCCAGTGAAAAATCTATAGAAGTGTGTTACAGGTGCAGGAGAATGTCATTGGATATAAAGGCCCTGAGAAGGAACATGTATGATGTGTTGGAAGGATAGATAAGGAAGGGCAGATTGCCTGGAGAAGAAGAGTGGGATGGGAAGTGAGACCAGGGAAGAGGCAGGGCTTTCTGTGTGGGGCTGGCAGGTCATGGTAAGAAGTGTAGCTTTGATTCCAAGAGAGAAGCTAGTAACTTTAGTAATAAGGCGATCAATGGGGACTGGTGAGGTAGAAAAAAATCAGCTTTGAGAAGTTTGGAAAAATGGAGTATATCTTAGAAAGGCTCATCAAGTTGTTATGGACAATCAAAATGACCCCCACAGTCAATGCAAGACACATTAATTTCATGTGCTCACTAATAGTTTGCTTTTATGCACAAATTACAATAAATTTCTAGTAGAGTTAAATTCTAGGGAAAACGGGGTGGAGGGGGATGAATGAAGACAATATCAAAAGGAAAAAGAAAAGATAAAGTAGTTTTCCACTGGATTCTATAAAAAAATACAATGTTACTGAAGATATTTGCTTTTATTTTGTAGTGCTTTGCACTCTACAAAATATGTTTTTCATACTTTATATCAATGTAGTTTACCAAAACCTTGTGAAGTAAGAAAGAGTTGTCTCCATTTTCTGTAGGAAGAACTCCTGCCCTCAAGGAGAGATTAAAAACATATACCCATTAATTAGTGAACATGGACCTCATATCTGGTTTTTGACCCTAACTTCAGGGCTATTTTCACTGTGCTGGGGGGCCACCTCTAGGAAAGAATGGAGGGTTGGAAATCCTCTCAACCAAGGTCTTGACTTTTTAATTTATTTCATTGTTTCCACAGCTTCTTACATGTGTGTACCACTTTGGATTTCCCAAAACACTTTCTCATATAATATATACTTGATCCATGCAATAGCCCCAGAAGTAGATAGTGCCCTTTTTATGCATGAATAAACCAAGTGTCAGGGCTTATATGAGGTTTTGTGCAGCAAGACTTTTTATTCTGAATCCAGTCTTCTTTCTGGTATGTTACACTGCCTCTCAAAGCCTTTTATTGCAGTTTCCTTTCCCTTCATACTTGTTTTACATAACTCTTTTATACAGTTTAGGTTTCAGGACTTAATATTGGCACATGTGTTTTTAAGCAGATAATTTGCTGGGCAATGGCTGAAACCTTAGATACATCTAAGGAAGCTAATCTCTTATTAAATCAATTATATTCTCATTGTTGGTACTAGGTAGAGTAATATGGTGCATTTGATGGAGCAATAACATGCTTCTTTAGCTGCATTAATTCTATATAACTTTTGATTGGGCATTATATTGTTTAGTTAGTAGAAAATTAAAGTAAAACCAAATTCCTAGAAGCCACTCATAGCAAACTGTATTTTTCATCCTGCATCAGATTTGAAGATGTACCTAATAACGTGACATAAGTCTGCAAAGTCCCCAGGACACTATCAATTCATTCTACTGCCTCCCAAATTCATAGCCAGCCAAGATCATCCCAGTAACTACAGAACATAATCATTGTCCTCTTCATTTATACCTTCAATTTGGATCCAACAAAAATTTCTCTTCCCTCATTTCCCATAAAGCCTAAATTGCTGAAAAAGATATTCATGAATATCTGTCTAAACTTTGCAGCTTACTAAGTGATTACATGGGAGGTAGCAGGCTGATAAGATATTGTCCCCACTTTATGGATTAGCACACTGAGTTTCTGGGAAATTGATCTGGCTTGCTTAAGCTGTTGCAACTCTGAAAAAATCACTAGGGCCTGTGAGGGAGGTCCTCTGTCATCAAAGCTTGGGCTCATTCTAGTACTCTATGCTGCTAGATTTCTCTTAAGTGAACTGGAAGCATCTTGGCCTGAATTTGAAAGAAGGCAATCCAAGTTTGACTTGGCTAAGTCATAATTCTGAATCACTGCTCCCGTGCAGGTAATTCAGGATAGGCAAATGTAATACAGGATGGCAGCAGAAATCAGACAGAACTAGGTAGGGGAAGAAAATGGACTCTATAGCGAAGCAAGAAAATAATAATGGCAGTCACTCACTATTTTTTGAGCAGTTACATTATGTTAGGCATGATGTTAAACATATATGTGTCTTATCTCATTAGGTCTTTATAATTACTCTATGTGGTTGATATTATAATTAACTCCAATATATAAATAAGATATTTCAGGCTTAGAGAATTTAAGTAGCTTACCCAAACTTAGATAGCAAGCTGGCAAGCTCTGATCTGTCTGACATCCAAGCCTGTGTTCTTTATCATTCTATTACACTTTCTGATCAGGCAACAGGAGACAGAGGTCATTTCTTAGGCTCCCTATGCACTCTTCAAGGTTTCTCTTGGTATCCCATGCTCCTTTTCAAGTTCTCAGTGATGCACAGGATGGACAGTGATGTCTTCTTTGACCATCTCTCTGGAGGTCCTTATTCAAAGGCATCAGAAGCAGTCCTGGACCTCAAGATGTGCCAAGACATCACAGGGGGTTTTAGGGTTCCCCCAACCCCCTGCCATAGTTTAACATCACAGCACTTACCCTTTATTGTTGCTCAGGGCAACTGGTCAGCCAGTTAATAAACACATCAACTTACTTTGAATTCTTGAGCACAAAGGGAAAGAAGATATAAACACTGACAGATTTACTATGGTCTAATTTAATAAAAATGTCAACAAATAAATGCACATTTAGCTGGGAAATAAATATCAACAATGAGGCAAGCTGACAGTGGAGTAGGTTGTAAGAAATTAACATTAAATAGTTTGGGATGACAGTAACTATAAAAACAAAATTGTACCTTGGAGACATCTTGAAACAATTTAACAAATGTGTGCTTTGAACATGAGAGAAGGCGAGTGAATCAAAACCGTTTTGATATAGGACAAGAGCCCACAGAGCTGTGGAGAGCAATCACTTGCATTCTGTCCCATACATCTGCAAAATGACATTTAGTGCAAACCAAGAACAGTCATCTGAGGATCATTTTCTCAAATTAAATGGGCTCCACACACCAAATGGAACTCTTGTTAAAGAGTTAAAGAAAAAGAATGGAGACATGTCAAAGAGATTTAGAATCCAACCTGATAGAGCTCCTAATGTCCAAAGCTGGAAGAATTTGAACCCAAAATAAGTAACATGGTGTTGGATTATAACACAAGTATAAAATAAATATAATGATTCATGCTGATATAAATAAAAGATTGAGTTAATGAACAAGAAGTAAATAAGAAGGGGAAAAACTTCCTTATAGAAAAATTTCAAATAATATAGGTATATATTATTATTAAGCTCTAGGAAGTAAAGCTTAATCTCTCACCTTCTTTGACTATAGGCTGAACTTGGTGACTTGTATTCAAAGAAAAGAGTATGGAAAGGGGAAAAAATAGTAACTTTGCTGTGGAGAAATCTGGTAAATACCACC
Source organism: Homo sapiens (assembly GCF_000001405.40). NCBI lineage: Eukaryota > Metazoa > Chordata > Mammalia > Primates > Hominidae > Homo > Homo sapiens. The sequence continues at coordinate 155,612,277 of NC_000005.10, forward strand.
ATAACAAAATGATCGAGGTTAACATCACCAGCAAAGAGTTATGTTAATATTTTGTACCCCCTGATGTGATATGATGAGAAGGGCACTTCATCTCTGTGGCATTCTTCCCCAGAATCATTACCCTAGTCTAATCGTGAGGAAAGCATCAGACAAACACATACTGAGGGCCACGTTACAAAAATGTAAAACTGACCAGTATTCCTCAAAATGGCCAAGGTCAAGTAAAACAAGGAAAGATTGAGAAACCATTATAGACCAGAGGAGGCTGGGGAGAGACATTACTACTAAATGCAATGTGGCATCCTTGGTTCTCACCAAAGGATGTATAAATTCTCACCAAAAATAAATAAATAAGTAACTTCCCCTTGACGAGATCTGCCTGATCCTTTCCCAGCACAGCTAAAGTAGAATGGCTTGCTGAGTTTGGCAGAACTGCATTTATCTCCTAGAACTGCAACTTACTAGCTGTGTGACCTTGAGACATTACCAAACCTCCCTGAGCCTTGACTGTGGAAAAAAGATAACATGTACTGCAAGGTTATTGCGAGGATCCCAAGCACCTACTACAATATTTGCTGGGATGCAGAAGCGCAATAACTCTTAATCCCTTAAGATATTTATGTGTCCAACAAGTTTTTATTGAGCACCTACTATGTGCCTGCCATGTATTAGGTGTTTGGGTTATATCAATGAATGTTTCCTTCTCTGAATCTTTACATGACAGTGTAGGGAAACAGAAGATTAAGGTGATAAATAGGTAAACTGTATAACATGTTAGGTTGTATATCAAAAAAAGGGCAAAGCGAGTGTGAGAAGGGTAAGTAGGATTTTAGAGAGGAAGATGGAGATAGGCATCATTGATAAGATGATATTTGAGTAGAATTGCCAGATTTAGCAAACAAAAGTGCTGGATACTAGTTAAATTTCAATTTTAGATAAATCACAATTTTTAGTATACATAGTATGTTCAAGATTGCATGTCCATGTCACTATTTATCTGAAATTCAAATTTCAATGGGTGTCCTTTATTTTTATCTAGTAACCCTACAATTTGAGCCAAGACTAGAAGTTCTCTGTGTGTATATCTGCAGGAAAAGAGTTATAGGCAGGGAGAATAGCCCACATAAAAGCCCTAGGGGAAGCTTGAGGAACATCGAGGAGGATAACATGGATGGAGCAGAGTGAGCCAGGGAGGGAGGGACTAGAGGACAGAGAGGCACCCAAGATCCCAAGAGCAGATCGCATGGGGTCTTGTAAGCACTTCTGCTTCTACTCTGAGTGAAATGGGGAGCCATTACAGGGTTTTGCGCAAAGAAGAGGCATAATCTAACATATCCTAGCTGCTGGCTGAGAGTTGACTCTAGGAGGGGCAAATCAGGGACATCAGTAAGGAGTTGTCGCAGTCATTCAGGCAACAGGTGATGGTGGCTCAGACCAGACGAGGGTGGCAGCCATGGCAGTTAGAAGTGGTTAGATTCTAGGTATTTAGAAGGAAGAACCAACAAGATTTCCTATGAGTTGTGAGAGAATGAGAAAAGTCAAAGATAACTGCAAAATTTGTGGCTCAAACAACTGGAAAAATCGAGTTGCCATGATGGGAAAGCTGTGAGTGGAACAGGAATTTGGGTGGGGGCTGGGGCAATGAGGAAGATTGGTAGTTCCATTTTGGATATGTATGGTTTGAGAATTCTGATAGACATCCAAGTAGAGATGTCCAGTAAACATTTGGAATGTGAGTCTGGAGTTCAGGAGAGACATCTGGGATGAAGAAACAAATTCGGGAACATTTTAGCATCTAGATGCCAATGAGACTGGATATCACCAAGGAAGTGACTGTAGAAAGATAAGAGAAACAGGTTTAAGCCCTAGTTTAAATGTTGGTGAGAGGAGAAAGGAACAGCAAATGAGACTGGGGACTGACCAGTGAAATAGAAGAAAAACCAAGACACCATATTGTCCTGAAGGCCAATGAAGAAAATGTATTAAGGAGGAATGAGTTATCAACTGTGTCAAATGCTAACAATAGGTCAAATAAGATATCTATTTATATGTCTGATTTCTAATGGACAATGTTTTTGTTTGACCAGTGAAGAGGGGTCAATGGCAAAAATAGTATTGCCATTGTGCCATCTTGGAAAGTCATGTCTCATTAAATTATAATATGATTCTCCTGGCACTCCCCCTTTCCCTTCTTTCTTTCCCCCCTTGAATACTAGGCTATTGGGAAACACGTTGAGATTCCATATTGTGAAAAATTCTATAAAATAAAGAAGAAAATAGGACCATTTGCTATGGTCTTTTAGCACAAGTACACATTGATAAGCTTTTTCTTTTTCTTGTGGAAGGACTGTGGGTCAGCCCACCAGAGAGCATATGAAGCTTCTGCTTCCTCTCATGAGCTGACTGGCTGGGTAGGTGCTTTCATGGATTCATGGCCAGCCTGTTGTAACATTGCTGGTTCCCCACCCAGGCCCTCACTCTCCAGACAGAGACAAGGTCCTGATGAGTTACCTGGTAGTCTATTCAGAAATCTCCCAGCACCCAGGAGACTGAATTCTCTTGCTCTGAGCCTCCTCAATAGCTATTACACAATATATATATATATATATATATATTTTAAATTTTGGAATAATTTTAGGTTTACAGAAAATTTGCAAATATAACAGAAGGAGTTTCTGTATATGCCTCACCCAGTTACCCCTAGTGTTAGAATCTCACCTTGCCATGGTAAATTTGTCAACATCATTATATACCTTTAACTAAACTCAGGCCTTTATTCAGATTTTACCAGATTTCTCCACTACTGTTCTTTTTCTGGCCCAGGAGAGAACCAAGGATGCCACATTGCATTTAGTAGTAATGTCTCTCCCCAGCCTCCTCTGGTCTATAATGGTTTCTCAATCTTTCCTTGTTTTACTTGACCTTGGCCATTTTGAGGAATACTGGTCAGTTTTACATTTTTGTAACGTGGCCCTCAGTATGTGTTTGTCTGATGCTTTCCTCACGATTAGACTAGGGTAATGATTCTGGGGAAGAATGCCACAGAGATGAAGTGCCCTTCTCATCATATCACATCAGGGGGTACAAAATATTAACATAACTCTTTGCTGGTGATGTTAACCTCGATCATTTTGTTATGGTGGTATTTACCAGATTTCTCCACAGCAAAGTTACTATTTTTTCCCCTTTCCATACTCTTTTCTTTGAATACAAGTCACCAAGTTCAGCCTATAGTCAAAGAAGGTGAGAGATTAAGCTTTACTTCCTAGAGCTTAATAATAATATATACCTATATTATTTGAAATTTTTCTATAAGGAAGTTTTTCCCCTTCTTATTTACTTCTTGTTCATTAACTCAATCTTTTATTTATATCAGCATGAATCATTATATTTATTTTATACTTGTGTTATAATCCAACACCATGTTACTTATTTTGGGTTCAAATTCTTCCAGCTTTGGACATTAGGAGCTCTATCAGGTTGGATTCTGAATCTCTTTGACATGTCTCCATTCTTTTTCTTTTGTTTTAAAAGTAGAAGTACTTTATGTTTATGGATGAACATTTTTTACATGAAATACTGGCACCCATGCTATGTATGGGGGTTTGTTTCCTAAATAAATATGAGTTTTCAATTGAATTCAGCTAGGTTTAGACACAGCCTGAGCTTTAATGCTAGAAAGAACTACTGAGGGAAGCTTCTGGAATCTAATTCTTTGAAGATTTCTCAAAAACAAAAAAGTTTCATACTACCAAAAGTTGCACATAGGGTACTGGTGGTGGGGCCAGAGATAATGTTCTATGATTTCTGAAATTTTTTCTTCTCATTTTATTTTATGCTATTTCCCCCCTTTTAATTGATACATAATAATTGTATATATTCATGGGACACATATGCTATTTTTGATACATATAAGATATAATGATCAAATCTGAGTATTTAGCTTACCCATCACCTCAAACATTTATCATGTATTTGTGTTGGAAACATTTCAAATCTTTTCTTCCAGCTATTTGGAAATAAACTTTAATTCATTATTAACTGTAGTAGTCACCCTACTGTGCTATTCAACACTAGAACTTACTACTGCTTTCTAACTGGTTGCTTGTGTCCATTAGCCAACCTCTCTTCACCACCCCCCTCCACTTCCTAGACTCTGGCAGCCACTACTTCAGTCCCTACTTCCATGAAATCAATTTGTTATCTCCCACATATGAGTGAGACCATGTGATATTTGTCTTTCTTTGCCCAGCCCATCTCACTCAACATATTGACCTCCATCCAGTTCCATCATGCTCCTGCAAACAACAGGGCTCCTTTCTTATGGCTAAACAGTATTCCACTGTGCATATACAAGACAATCTTCAACCGTTCATCCGTCCATGGACATCTAGGCCAACTCCATATCCTGGCCACTGTGAAAAGTGATATAATAAACATGGGGGTGCAGGGTGCAGGCAGTTTTTGTTTTTAGCATATCTTTAAGACACTGCAAGGTGCTCCAGGCTCATCATGTGTTTTCCCTGGAATCATGGGATCAGCCATTTCTCCATGGGGCCGTGCTTCTTTTTTACTGGAAAATCATAGAAAAAGCAAGCAAGATCTGGGCAATGGGTACCCAAAGGCATATTACTGGGTCAAAAATACTCTCCCAGGAGGGCTCATGAACCACCTGCACCACTTGTGTATTACCCAGGGGTTGCCAGCAGGGGTCACCAAGTGACTGGGTTGGGGGTGTGATTGTATTGACAAATTGGGGTTAAGGACACCACCACAATCTTCTGGTTGGAGCCCACCTTACAAGCAGGCAGAAGATACTAGTATGGTTTGAGAGGCAACAGTAAGTCCCCTCTTTCCTCACCATTCCAAAATATCTTCCTTTCCCTTCATAAGATTCCTGAAATTCCTGCATTGGAGTTTTAGCCTTTTAGTCTTTTAAAAATAGCTTCCGATTAAAATAAAACCAGACTTTGATTAAAAATTATCTTTGATTCCCGTTTAAAATGTAGATAAATCACTTGCCTCCAGTGGCCTCAAATTTAATCAGAGTTGGATCATAGTATTCATCTAGAGTTTAGGCTTTGTCCTGCAAGTCGTCAGGGAGCCCTGAATATTTTTGGCATGATCTGCAATGCATTTTTAGGGTGATAATGTTGTGGTTCATATGTATATGTGTGTGTGTGTGGTGTGTATGTACGTAGGTGTGTAAATATGTATATGTATATGTGCCTGACACCTAGTGAGAGCTATAGAGTATTTGCTATAATTAATGTCATTAGTAGTAGTGGTAACAGAACATTCTAACCATAGACGGCTCTCTCCAAACTTCCTGCTGTTAATTTGTGACACAGTGTAAGAACAAGTGTGTATATATACGCACATACTTCCATTGACTTCTCACACCCTATGAGGTTAGTACTATTTTTATTTCATTTTACAGGTGGAAAAATTGGGGCACAGCAGGGAAATGTAACTTGTCCAAGGTCACACAGCTACTAAATGGAAAAGACAAGATTTAAAGCCAGGCAGTCTGGCTCCAGGTTTCTGGTTCTTAACTATGCTCTGTGCTACTCATTTGAATGTCTGTTCTCCTCTGCCTTCTTCAAGAGAATGCTCCCAAAATGCCACCTAGCCTCATCCCTGGCTTTCATGTCTCCAGAATTTCATATTTCAAGATCCTCCCTTACCAAGATTATTTTTCACAGGCTATCCCCAGCATTGCCCTATCCCCATGAGCCCTTAGGGTCTTTCTCATTTTCTTTATCTTCTCTTTCCCCACTTATCACTGCCTTAGTGGTAAATGAGTTGATATGATTAAATACCTTTCTTTTGGGGCAGGGGATGGGAGGGGATATTTTGTTTTCAAAATAAGGCTACTAGTATAACCCAAAGGAATACATTCTAATGACAAAACAGATGTCAATAAAAGACAAGTGATAATAATAATAATCAGCAACTTATCTTGGCTTAATGTAAACACTCAATAAATGCAGCAGTTAGCATTTATTGAGTGACTGCTTTGTGCCTGATATTGTACTAAGTACTTCACGTAGATACTTTCTTTTGATTCACACAGTAATCCTAGGAGTTTAGCACCATTATTATCTCTCTCTACAGAGAGAACTTGAGAAGTTTCCCCAAGGTCACACAGCATGGAAAAGCTGGAATATGATTGACAATGGTGAGTCTGTAAGAGGCTTCACCCTTGAACTTGATAAAGTACTCACTGTAGTATACCTCAAATGATACCACACCCACAGACCCAATTTCATCTAGTTCGGTGCTGTGCAGAAGCTGTTTGTAGAGAAGGAACACTTAGAAATTGTATTTCCTATCTATTATGGATCAGTAGTTCTACAAAATACATTAACAATGAATTATATGATCACATTCTTGGATGTTATGCCCACGTCAACTTGTTATCCAAGTCTCTCAATGGTTTCTCCTAGTTTTAAACTTACCACAGTAGGTTGGTAACCAGCAGGTCATGGACTGGCATCAATCTGTGAATCATTCTCTGAATGGCACTGGTCTAATAGTATCCTTTTCACAAATGTGATTCACTAAATGTATGTCTAGATATAACTGAATTTTTATTTCTTTGTAAAATTTGTGTTAGACTCTTTGTTCCAACTGTTGGTTATTAAACCCATAGACATTAGACATTAGGTAGACCTGGCACCAGACAAACCTGGATTTAAATCTAATCCTGCCTGTTCTACCTGCATGGCTTTGAGTAGCTTAACCTCTCTTAGACTGTTTTATTGTCAATAAAATGAGGATAATAATATTTACCCAGATGGATTATTGTGAGAATCCATTGAGACAGGGATGACTGGTACATGGGAGACACTTAATAGATTTTGTTACCTAGATTTCCCATCCCATTCCACAGACACTAGACTAAAACTAGATCTTCCTGTGGCCATGACAATATGCAAATTGGGCCAGGCATAGTGGCTCACACCTGTAATCCCAACACTATGGGAGGCCAAGGTAGGAGAATCACTTGAACCCAGGAGTTCAAGACCAGCCTGGGCAACATAGGGAGACCCTGTCTCTACAAAAAATTTAGAAATTAGCCAGGTGCAGTGGTGCACACCTGTGGTCCCAGTTGCTTGGGAGGCTGAGGTGGGAGGATTGCTTGAGCCCAGGAGGTTGAGGCTGCAGTGAACTGTGATCATGCCACTGAATTCCAGCCTAGGCAACAAAGTGAGACATTCTCCTCACCGCCACCACCCACCCCCCGACAGAAAAAAGAAAAAGAAAAAAAAAGTAAAAATAAACATGTAAAAAGATGCAAATCTGATATATATGTTGGGTGGCTGGTAGACCTCCATAAATTATTAACAAATGTCCGAATGACTGACCACTCTCCAACCAATTCTGACTGTGGGGGAAATTTTCCATTTACACCACCTCCCCTGAAGACTCAGGAATCAGGGATGGGGACAGCCTGTGTACTTGAAAGGAGAGGCTCTCTTTGAGCAGCAGTTTCCTATGTGGCAAAGCAATTTTATTAGACTTCAGGGGGTCGGGGCTCCTCTGACCCTGCCCGCTCCCTGGAGCCGGCTGCCCCAGGCTTACCCAGGGAGGACACAGCTCTGAGCTGCCACATGGTGGATGAAGATTGATGTCAAAATATTAATTTAGAGTCAGCACTGCTGATGCAAGCTAAACATGTGCTTCTTTTAGCCTGCGGAGTCAATTGGATTGTAATTCTTCTCAGTTCTCAGCTCAGGAGTGGAAGAGTGTGTCGTTCCTGGAGGGGCATGTTGGCAGGTGCCTCTGAGATCTGAAAGGTTAATGCAGACTGCAAGTGGGGGCTATCTTGTTGGGGGATCGCCAGCTAATTTTCTTGAGATTATAGGATCAGGGAAAGGCAGAGCTGGACAGGGTTTTAGGGATCAACCTTTCTTTTAAAATTAGAGGAAAAGGGCTGATTAAGAGGTCAGGCCTTGGAGTCAGGAGGACACAGGTCACCTCCTGGTTGTGCCACTTATGAGCAGTGTGCTGTTAGGCAAGTGACTTTACCTCTCTGAACCTCAGTGTTCTCATCTGTAAAATGGGGATAATAAAAATGTCCACATCATAGATTATGCCTTGTAGACTAGTCTCATACGTACACATATCATTCATTCTTTATTTCTTAAGGTTTCAAATAAAGTCTTTCTCACAAGACTGATTTATGCCTTTATTCATCACCTGTTTTGCGTCTGTAATAGATGCGTGGATTGCAACAGAGAGCAAAAGCTGACATGCTGTCTGTCCCCATGGAGGCTGCAGTTTGGTGGGAGAGACAGACCCTGACTGAGTCATCCCAAGAAACAATGTAAATACAACAATGATATGTTGGCAGAGGAACAGTGTCAGGTACTGTGAAAGGGCATCATGGGGGAATCTGATTTGGTTTAGAAGGCCAAGACAGGCTTTCCTAAAAAAGCAACAGCTGACCTAAGATCTGATGCACCAGTAGAGGTTTAGGCAAACGGGGGAGAGCAGGGCAGTCTCAGCTGAGGGAAGACCCTGCGTTGCGTCTCCGTGGTCCCTGCTGAGAGAAGAGCAGTGTGCACAATGCTGGGGGAAGTGGTAGGTGACGAGGCTGGGGGAGTAGCAGAAGCCAGGCCTGGGGGTGGCCCTGGTCAGGATTGGTTTTGTTCCTCCCAAGAGTAAGTGGGTGACTGAGTTGACTGAAGATCAGTCTGGCAGCAGGGAGGGAGGCAGAGTCTGTGTTCACGAGCCTGTGTTCCCAGGAGTTCTTTTGTCCTAGTCTGAGCCCAGGCTCTGCCCTCTGCTTTTGTTTCCCTTATCTATTGGGTTCACTCTTTCCTCTGTTGTGGCAGCACCGGCCTCCCCTTGGTCTCCAGCCCCGCAGAATCTGACCTGCAATTCTCCTTGCTGCTGTTTCAGCTCTCCCTGGCTCCTTTCCCTCCATCCTTCCTTCTGTCATCAAACGCACCTCTCTTTGCTGTGGCTTCATTGGTCCCTGTAGATGTGTTTTTTCCTCTCTGCCCTCCTGTCATCTTTCCTCTGACCGGTCATCAGAGAGATTTCCTGCTACTGGGGATAAGCGAGTCCTGTGCCAATGAGGACAGCCACCACTCAGTGTGTAATGTTTTAAAATTTTACAAAGCCCTTTTGCGCTTGTTCCTCTAATAGCTCCTCATTATCATCCCATAAAATAGTAGGACAAGAATTATTGTCCCCATTTGCTAGATAAGAAAAGGATTTCAGAAAAGTTGGGAGACTCGAGCTTGCTCACACAGCTGGTGTGTTTTGAGCTGGGAGCCCACCCTGGGTCAGGTTCTGTAACTCCAAACCCCTTGATCTTCTTTGTTTTTTTTTTTTTTTTTAACATGGTATCCTAGGACTTATTATTGTGTCTTTATTTTTAATCAGCTTTATTGATAAGCTGAGCATAAAGTGTATACTCTGAGAAGTTTTGACATAAAAATATACCTGTGAAATCATCATCCCCTAAAGGTTCCCTGTGCCCCTTTGAAATTCCTCCTTCCTGCCACCACACCCCACCCACGGCTCACCAGGTCACCACTGATCTGCATTTTAACACCACGGCTACTTTCCATTTTCTAGAACTGTGTGAAGATGGAATCATATGCTGTTTTTCTGGCTTCTTTTACTCACCATAATTATTTTGAGATTCATCTGTTTTGTTGTGTATCTCACTAGTTGATTCCTCTTTATTGTTGAGTGGTATTCCATTGTGTGGATGTGTGATCATTTGGCTATCCATTCACCTGTTGATAAATATTTGGGTAGTTTCCAGTTTGGGGTGATTACACAGAAAGCTGCTGTGAACATTCATGTATAATATAAGTATTTGAATGATGAATCTTGACTTTCTTGTCTCTTGGATAAAGACCTAGGAGTCACATGGTGGGTATACATTTAACTTTTTTCTTTTTTTTGGAGACAGGGACTTGCTCTTTTGGCCAGGCTGGAGTGCAATGGCAGGATCATGGCTCACTGTAACCTCAAACTGCTGGGCTCAAGCAGTCCTCCTGCTCAGCCTCCCAAGTAGCTGGTACTACAGGTGCATGCAATCACATCCAGCTAATTTTATTTTTGTAGAGACAGGTTTTTGCTGTGTTGCCCAGGCTGGTCTTGAACTTCCTGGCCTCAGACTATCCTCCCCTTTTTGGCCCTCCAAAGCACTGGGATTACAGATATGAGCCACTGCACTCAGCCCATATTTAACTTTTTTAATCAAATGGAGTAAGCATGTTTTCTAAACTGTTCTACAAAGCGTTTTTACTACTTAATCCCACCAGCAGGGTATGAGAATACCAGTTCCTCTACCTGTTTACCAATGCTTGATATGGTCAGTCATGTCTTAGAATTTTAGACATTCTAAGAGGTGTGTAGTAGTATCTCATTGTGGCTTTATTATCATTTCCCAAATAACTAATGACATAGATTTTAAAGTGTTCCTGATTGTTTGCATGGTTTATTACATTCCATTTTAATAATAAACTGCCTCAAGTAAACTAATCTGTGTTGTTAGATTTGTTTTTTATTATAAATAAAGGGAATGACTTTTTAAATGTAAGTTAAATGTATGATGTGATCCCATTATATGCATTCATTGAGAGTGGCATTTATCACACTATACAATGGTTTTTCCTTATGAATTTGCCCCTTCTCCACTAGACAGTGAACACCTCAAGAGAAAGTCTGCATCTTATTTATCTTGATATGTCCCCCATATCCACTATAGTGCCAGGCTGATAGTAGGAATTTCATAAATGTTTTTTGAATTGAATTTATCTGTTTTTCATCAAGAACTAGCCCTGTGGTAGATGCTTTAAAAAATACTTAAAAGGTTGAATGAATGAGTGAATTTTGCATCTGGCACTATGCAACCATGTGATGTTGGATGGCTCTCTTCCTCTTGCGATCCTCAATTTTCCTGTCTCTGACACATTTAGGGTCTTTCTAATGCTAATATTTTATAATTCTAAGCATTTCAGTGTCTCCAGACCCCAGCAACCTATGAGAACAAAATAAGGTCATATTTCTTTTAATGCTCAAATTATACTGACTCTGAATTATAGTCAGATGAGCAGGGAGTCTGATCCTGAGATTTCTCATCCTAAATTTTTGTAAGATGCTCATTCTGAGAATCATCCTGCTATAGATGAGAAAGATGTATTTCACAAGAGGATGTAGAGCTTTGGGGTGACCCCTCTTCACCTTACCTTCCACAGGGTTTGAAAAAACACTGTATTTTGTATTTTCTCACAACTGAAATGAACAACAATAAAAAAACCCTGCTCCAGATCTTTAAGATAGGGATTTAGAAAGGGTTCTTTCCATTCAGATCCACTGAGGACGCTAGGTCAGGAAGGGTATCAGTGTCACCTGAACTAGCCCTCTGTCCATTTGTGCATTCCCTAGCCTAGAATCCAGTCTTCCTCATGGTGAGTGACGGTTCTTTGGGTTTATGGTAATCCTCTGGTAATGGACCTGGTCTCAGCAGAACCAACCCATCCTCCAGCAGACAATTTCTAATAACTTGAAGCCTTGAAGGGTAGATGTCCCATTCCCTTTCCTCCAAAAATTCTCCTGGGTTCTTTCGTAAATTTTTGTGTGCAGATACATTTCTGGGAAAGGGCATCACCTAATTCAGTCTACACCATCATCTAAGCCCTGGCATGGTATTTTTCAAAATAGCCTCCATGGACTGTGCCAGAAGCTCCAAGTTCTTGTTAAGATGTTATGGCTTTACCCCAGAACAAAATCTCTGGAAGAGGACCCCAGGCTTTGCACTTACCGCATTGGGTGTTCATTATGCATATGAGACATTTGAAAACCATGGCCTTAGATACCCTCCACACCTACCACCATACAAAATTGTAATGCTAATAAGTTGCTATAATTTTCCCCCAAAAAAGACCTATGATACTGGAATTTCAACTCTCTAAAGGAATGCTCAAGTGGTTCTACAAGAGAAAAGGAAGCACCTGCAAAGGGTAGATGGATCTTTTTCCATTCACTCATCAACAAGTATTCTTTCAGTGCCTGTAGAACCAGCAGTTGACTTCGTGGTGCTTAAATTCTATCTGGGGAGAGACAGACAAAACAAATGTACATAGAGAAGAAGCAAGATAGCTACAGAGGGACAGTACAGTGAGGGAAATGAAGACAGATGTGGTAAGTAGCTGGGGGAGGAGGAAAGGAGGGCCATGGCAATACCCTCTCCCAGAAGGGTATGTATGAGCTGGGGGCTAAGGCAGATCTGAGAGTGGGGCATTTGGGCTGAGGAAACAGCCGGTGTGATTTCCCTCAGGAAGAAAAAATCTCTTAGCTTCCAAAATAGAATAAGGCTGCTGTGGTGAATGAACGAGAGAGGAAAAGCAGACAGAAGCTTGGTCATGGTAAGGGATGTGGAAGACTGAAAAAAGGCATATGGGGAGAGAGAGAGAGAGAAGAAGAAAGAGGAGTTGGAGGAGGAGAGAGAGAGAAGGAGGAGGAGGAAGAGAAGAAAGGAGAGGAGGGAGAAAGAGGAGGAAGAAGAGAAGGAAGGGAGAGTGGGGAGAAGAAGGGAAAAAGAGAAAGAAATAATTGTGACGAAGGAGGAAAGAAATGAAGAGAGGGAAGAGAAAGAGGGAGAGAAGGAGGGAGAGTTCCTGTCTTTTCAGCAATTATTACGTAAATGAGCAAAGCAGGGAGATAAAAAGTGAGGTTCCCATGTGGGCTGCTTTATGGAAATCGGAAGCACATTCATTATCATGGAAGGTAATTAAGCCAAGAGAGTGAATGTGGGTTCAAAAGTCAACACAGTTTATTTATGGAGACGGAGAGAAGGCAAGGCTCTGGTGACAATCCTGGGAGATGAGATTGAAATAAATGTAAAAAAGGTTGGCACATTGACTGTGTGACCTTATACTGTTCCTAAAATTTAATTTTGTCCAAAGACTCATATTAAATATGGAAAGTCTGTTACTGCTTTAGAGTCGTCTAATATTCTGAACAATGTCCTTGCAACAATCATATCATTTTAGCTGTGTTGCCGTGCTAAAAGCAATATTCATTCCTTCATTTTTTTTTTCTCTTGCCTCAGAAATATTGCAGTAACCACCTTTAATCTTTTGAAAAGTCAGAGCCTTTCAATAAGGAAAAAAATTACTTTTTCTGTTGGAGTGGTGTGGTAAATTATATTTTATTGTAACAATTACATAATTACTTTATTGCAGGCAAACCTGTCCTCACTCAGAGGGTTGCATATTAGAGGCTGTAACTATGTCTACTTCCTTTCCCAACTTCTCAGATGAGAAAGTCAGCCGAGCTTGAGAACGTCAGCATTGATGGTGAATTATAGGGGTGGTCTGTTAGTGAGGGAGACCATGTGCTTACCCACGACAGTGGAAATGTTTTTCTTTCAGAATTACTTACTATAGGATGATTTGTGCAAAATCATTTAAAAGTTGCCTCTAAAATCTCAGTTGCATTGGAATCTAAAGAAACCTTTTGGTGTGGAACATTTCAAATGATAGAATCTCAGTTTAATGGGACAGGCTTCCTGAGGGAGGAAAACATTTAAAGTCGGAAATTAAAAACTCAAATATTTACAAAGACCAGGTAACCTAAACATGTGAACCAGAGTTCACTGTCCTTCCACATCTCCTTCCTCCTCCAGACACACACATTTGGTGAATACATAAATACAAAACTTTTGCTTCCTTTTAACTGTGCTATTACATAAAACAGTAGTTCGATAGAGAAAAACTGAGAAACTGACATTTGGCCCAGGTGTCTGGAAAATAACAAGGAGTGGTGGGGACTGTGACAAACTGGAGGTTGCCTTGCTCTGTCTAAAGGGACAATCTCTGTTCAGCTCAAGCTTCGTATTGCCTGGAAGTGATATCAATCCAATATTGCCAGATCATTTCATTTCTTCAAAGAGAAGCTGGAAATCTGGATTTTTTTTTTAAATGTGAAATCTTTGTTTTTTTGTTGTTGTTAGCAATTCAGTCAAACATTTTCTAAGTTCTCTTTAGGCCACACTGTACCAGCCAAATCAAACAGACTTGTGGGACAGTCTAGCCCGCTGGCCTCTGGTTTCACCCTCTGTTCAAGGGGAATCACTGTGTTCCTCTCCTGTTCACAATGTTCCACTTCTCCACCTCCAAATGCAATCTCAGCTTATTGGAAATTTGGAAGAAAATCAAAGAAATTATATGTTTATGAGCTCAAAGACAAGTTCTTGCTGGATATTAGAATTTCCAAGAAAGGTCAAATTTGGAGTCTTATAAAATGTTGTCTCTATTACTCATTCTTGAATAAGCCTGGTTTTATTCACAGCTGTGGCTCTAACTTAGTTTTGAAAAATACCTCTAACTCTGAGAAGAGATATTTTATGTGACACGGTAGCAAAACTTGGATATTTTCCTGTTTAGATTTATGGCTATTTCTTGCTCTCGGAAGCGCTGCTGTTAGCTCCATCAGTGAAATGGTGAATTGTCTCTGACAGCAATGAATTCATTCGATGTACTCTTAAACCTTCCCAATTACTGGCTTTTTCCTAAGTCTCGGAGTACATTAATCATGTAACTGAGGAAAGACTTACTATGACCTTCTTTTGTATCAATCTTAGATATATCCTACATGTGAAAAAGCTGTCTGCCGATGTGTCCAGTGTTTTCCATGAGAATTAAGGTAAATCAAACAAGAAATGGAAATGCAAGGTTAAGAATTTAAAGAAAGGAAATTAGAATCTCTTAAGGATGGAGCAGGATGTCAACATATTTCCATTTAATTTGAGTGGTTTAGTCGTTGTGGGAAAGACAGAAAGTAAAGGAGAGAGTTTTGCTTGTCATTTCAACCTCCTTGAGGAGGGAGTAATGGAAGACAGGGATCTGTTTTTTCTCAATTGGTGTATGTGCCCATGTGCTCCCAGTGTGAGCCTCTCATGGATAATATGGGGTTTAAAAATGCATTCGTTAAAAAAATATGACTGGTAGTTACAAGCTAAGTATATCATTTGATGTTCATCTGAGGAACTCTGGCCGGATATACTGGACTCATTAAGAGACAGTATTTTGGTACCCAATGTGACACCTTCCTGAGATATTTTTCAAGGTTAGACATGACTTTTCATATTTTTCACTTTATACACTGAGTTTAGAACCTCTATGTGAGATGTTATTCTTCAGTGTGTTGGGTCACTCTCAACCACCATTATTATCACCATAACTTCTGCCATCACCCATGGGAAATGGCCCAACTCAGATCTCTTTTTCTAGTTTCTGCCCTGCTGTCACTTACATTGTAGAAGTGACTGAAGAGACTGCTTTCTTGGGTTGATCCATTAAAGCATTTTTTAAAAAGAGGTAATTGCACAAGGGATGACTTTTTTTCTACCAACTTCTCATGTCCCATTTTTTATTCCCTGTTGAACATGAACACCATGCTAAGTGCTGGCCATGCATGGGAACACATTTCTTGCCTGGTGAGCATGCTGGCTGCATCACACCATCTCATCTCTTCATCTGCTAAGGACTTGCCACAGATAGAAGTAGCCACCCATTAGGTGCTGGAGTAAGATTCCAAGTGCCTTCTACAGGAAAATAAACTAGATCTTCACCTCTCCCCTCCAGCTTAAAGGTGATTGAGAAAGAGTGGTCAGAGGAGAAAAAGTAACAAAAGAGGCTATGGAATTTTTAAGGGGAAATTGGAGGGAGAGTTCAACTATACCTCTTTACTCAAAGGATTAGGCAATCGTCAAGGGTTAATTGAATACCTACTATCTGCTCAGTTTTGTGTTAAGTGCAGTGAAAGAATATGAAGTAGAAGTTGGCAACGAATCTGACAATATAAGAGAATGAAATATTAAAAGTACATAGTGGAGTAATTATTTAGCTATTTCCTTAGAACTTAAAAAGCACTTTAAAATATATTATCTTACTTGGCTCACCCAACTACTCCTAGACAACGATTATTATTTAAAATAGAATAGACAAGGAAACTGAGGCCCCAGTGAAGTAAAATACTTTGTCTAGCTAGCAGTGACTTAACCTGGTTTTAAACTGGGGTGTTTTAACTCTGAACTCAAAATTCCTTCTGTGGAAGTTCAGGGGAAGCGTCAGTGACTGGTATTAGTTCTCCATGGGTCACTCAGGTGTTTTTCATGTCTTGCAAACAGGGACATTGACTATCTTTGTTCCGGATCATCTTTCCAAGGATGTTTGTAGAGCAAAGAACTTGAAAGGTAGTGATGGTGTCCCCCTCCAGGCCATAGGTCAGGCATATTTACTGAGTGGTTATAATAAGGATAATGTCTTTCTCTAGGGCCAAAGGTCAGGCCTATTGTAAAAGATTCATGTTCCTGGCCAGGCGCAGTGGCTCACACCTACAATCCCAGCACTTTGGGAGGCCAAGGCAGCCGAATCACCTGAGGTCAGGAGTTCGAGACGAGCCTGACCAACATGGTGAAACCCCGTCTCTACTAAAAATACAAAGTCAGCTGGGCGTGGTGGCACATGCTGTAGTCCCAGCTACTCAGGAGGCTGAGGCAGG
Organism: Homo sapiens; assembly: GCF_000001405.40. Lineage (NCBI taxonomy): Eukaryota > Metazoa > Chordata > Mammalia > Primates > Hominidae > Homo > Homo sapiens. The sequence goes on from NC_000005.10 coordinate 155,628,816, forward strand.
AGAATTGCTTGAACTCGGGAGGCAGAGGTTGCGGTGAGCTGAGATCGCACCATTGCACTCCAGTCTGGGCAACAAAAGTGAAACTCTGTCTCAAAAAAACAAAACAAAACAAAAACAACAACAACAAACAAACAAAAATTCATGTTCCTTAAAGATCATGTTTTATGAAATGAAGGGGTATTAAAAGTTGTATAATGCAACCCCTTTTAAAAAAATGTAGCTTTATTGAGGTGTAATTTATGTACAGTAAAATTTAACAATTTTCAATTAATTTGAGGAGTTTCAACAAATCTATATGGTAGTGTAACTACCAACCCAATAAAAGTGAAAAATATTTTCTTTGCCATCAAACGTTCTTTCCTCCCCTTTGGAGTTAATTTCCTCTACCAAACCTCTTGCCCTGGCAACCACAGACTTCTATCACTTTAGTTTTCTATCATTTTAATTTTGCCTCTTCTAGGATTTTATGTAAATGGAATCATAAAGCATGTTGTCTTCTACTTCTGATCTGTTTTACTTAGCATAGTGCTTTTCCTCCATTTGGTTGATCCTTTTTATCTCTGAGTAGTGTTATATGGAAATATATCTACTTGCTTCTCCAACAGTTGAGGGACACTGACATGGTTTCCAATTGTTAGCCATTGTGAAGAAAATTGCTGTGAATATATACATACAAATTTTTGTGTGAACGTATTTTTTTCATTTCTCTTGGGTAAATTTGGAGTAGGATTGCTGGGTCATGTGGTAAGTGTGTGTTTCATTTTATTTTTTAAAAATGGAGCCAGGCACAATGGCTCATGCCTGTAATTCCAGCACATTGAGGGCCTGAGGTGGGAGGATCCGTTGAGCTCAGGAGTTCAAGACTGGCCTGAGAAACACAGTGAGACCTCATCTCTAAAAAAAAAAAAAAAAAAAGCCAGGCATATTTGCACACACCTGTAGTCCAAGCTACTTGGGTGGCTGAGGATTGCTTGAGTCCAGGAGGTCAGGGCTGAGCCATGATTGCACCACTGCACTCCAGCCTAGGTAACAGAGGAGACTCAGACTCAAATAAAAATAAAAGTAAAAATAAAAATAAAAGCCAAATAGTCAAACTGTGTTCCAGTTGCTGTACCATTTTTGCATTTCTACTAGCAATAGATGAGTATTCCAGTAGTTCCATATCCTTACTAATGCTTGGTAGGATTAGTCTTTTGAATTATAGTAATTCTAGAGGGTATAGAGTTGTATCTCATTGTGATTTTAATTTGCATTTCCCTAATGACCAATGATGTTGAGCATGCTTTCATGGGCTTATTTGCCATCCATATATCTTCTTTGATGAGTGTCTGTTCAGATTTTTTGTGGAAACTGGATAATTTTTTTATTTTATTGTTGAGTTGTAAGAACATTATTGTATCTCTTGGAAAGAGATTCTTCATCAAATGTATGTTTTCTAACTATTTTTTCCTGGTCTATGGCTTATCTTTTCATTTTCTTTACAGTGCCTTTTAAAGAATAAAATTTATAATTTTGATGATGTCAAATTTGTCAATGTTTTTATATCTGATGTCTGTGATTTTTGCTACCTTTTTTTCTTAAAAAAAAATCTTTGCCTAACCCAAGGCTGCATATATTTTCTCCTATGTTTTCTTTTAGAAAAGTTATAAGTTTAGCTTTTACCTTAGGCCTATGATCCATTTCAAGTTAAAAATTTTGCATGTGGCATGAGCTAAGATTTAACTTTAATTATTATGCATATCCGATAATTCCAGCACCATTTGTTTGAAAGTTTATCTCTTGTCATTGAATTCCTTGTCAATTTTATAGAAAATTAATTGATCTTAAATGTGTGGGTCTATTGGTCAGTTGTTTTTTCTATCTATAGCTATATGTCTATATGCCAGTACTACGTTGTCTAAATTATTATAGCTTTATGGTAAGGTAATACAATTTTTCCAACAAAGAAAAGGCATTTTTCCCAGGTGACACAGCAAGGTAGTGTCCAATCCATGGCTAGAATTGACATGTTCGTATTTCCAGCCTGGCTGTCTTCTTCCTTACCCTACATTTCTTCATGGTACCATTTATTCCTGGGCTCCCACCCTCTCTCAGTTCCTCTACAGCAGGGGAAAGTGAAAATGTTGTGACATGCAATCACATACTGTTTGATTTAATATAAAACAGAATGTTTTTTTTCTCCACCCTCTTCCTCACCACTCTCAATATCCAAGTAAACTTGATACTCTAGGAAAATGAGCCCCATCTATCCTGTGTGTACCTCTGGGGCAAGGACCTCAACTGAATAGAATGGACTGGTCCAAATCAGAAATATTCATTGCTCTGTGAGGACATAAGCCAACAGTACCATAAGGTAGGCTGGCCAGTGGACTCTCTGGAGTCACACACAGGGAGTTTTCCCTTGGCTTCCCTCCTTAATCAGAACTTCTCTATGTGGGAACAGATGGCTGGTACAATATGGAAAAAACAGTCACATGAACCTGCTTCTGTTTTGCTAAACCTCATTTCTGTAGTCAGCAAACAGGAAATTCCAGACATGTGACAAATCAACTGACGTGGAATTCCCAACTAGGTGTTCCCTCTCATGCGTCTTCTCCACTGTGGAGTCACTGCTCCTGCCACTAGCATTCGCAGAGACATTGGGGCCATTGCAGTATCTGGAATATTTAGTATGTGGATGGCAGGAATCCAGCCCCAGAGAGAGGATCCAAAACCAGCCTTCATGGAAATGTGGGCTTCAGCTGAGAAATAAGTGCCATTTGAAATAGATATCTTAGCTGCTTTTAATCAGATTACACTATCATTGAAGTTTATCTGTAAGTTTTTGCTTTTATATAGTCTTGACATCTTTTTTTAAAAAAACATTAAAATATTGATTGGGAATTTTGTACTCTAATAGAGAGTGCCTGCATGTGTGTGCTGTGTGTGTGGACTCATGCAGGCATGTGCATTTGGTCTAGTGAATGGAGTATCAACAAATTTAACCTCATTTTACTGAAAAGATTTAAAAATTCATAATTAGCAAACCCAAAAGGAGGAAACAAGGGGAGGTCATATATGATTTAGAAATATATTGTGCATGTTATAAGCTAAGGAATTTGATCACCCTTTTGTAACTGAGACAACCCTTTTCTCCTCCCTGCTCTCCAAATGAAATAAAAAAAAGATCAATTTGGTATGGAAGCTTTATGGAGTCTCATACATTGACAATCTATTGTATTTAACTGCTGAATATAGTAAAATCTCAGTTAACTAAAGGACTCTAAGAGGAACATTCTAGTGATTTTACTTCTCTGATTAATTGAGGGATTAAATAGAATTTCCCTCTTCAGCTTTTGTTGAAAAAACTTCCAAAATGTATGAGTATGCTTCCCTGTCTTCGTAACTCTAGCCAACACAATTGTATTTTTCTCATGACTCAGGATCTGAAGATTTAGGGGTTATTTGGAAAATGCATCTCATTATTTAAGGCTATAACAGTGGTGGTGGAATTGTGGGAGTTTTACTGAGTGAGCAATGACCCTCACCCTCAGTTTCTTACTGTTAAATGAGGGAATAGGTTTTTCAACTGTGTTGTGTAGAGCTGTAGCCCCCTATCTATCACAAACAACTTGAGATGTTTTAGAAGTGTGTTTCCAGAGCCAGGCATGGTGGCCCATGCTTGTAATCCCAGCACTTTGGGAAGCTGAGGTGGGCAGATCACCTGAGGTCAGGATTTTGAGACGAGCCTGGCCAACATGGTGAAAACCCATCTCTACTAAAAATACAAAAAATAACCAGGCATGGTGGCGCATGCCTGTAATCCCAGCTATTCATGAGGCTGAGGCACAAGAGTTGCTTGCAACACAGGAGGTTGCAGTGAGCCAAGATCACACCACTGAAATCCAGTCTGGGCAATAGAGTGAGACTCCATTTCAAGAAAAAAGGAAAAGTGTTTCCAGGGCCAGGCATGGTGACTCACACCTGTAATCCCAGCACTTTGGGAGGCAGAGGCTAGCCAATCACTTGAGCCTATGAGTTCAAGACCAGCCTGGGCAACATAGTGAGACCTTATCTATCTCTACAAAAAAAAAAATTAGCTGAGCATGGTGGTCTGTGCCTATAGTCCCAACTATTTGGGAGGCTGAGGCGGGAGGATGGCTTGAGCCCAGGAAGCCAAGACAGCAATGAGCCAAGATTGCACCATTGCACTCCAGCCTGGGAGACAGAGTGAGACCCGTCTCAAAAAATGTAAAAAATAAAAATAAATAAAAAATAAAATTGTATCTTCAATCACCGCACCAATCCTAGAACTTAGTTATTATCACCCTCCTTTTGTATGTGTGGAAACTAAGACTAGAGAGACTTTGTATTGATGGCAGCAGTTGCTAACTAACTCCCAGCTACAGCCAGGAGGCACAGCTGGGGCTGCACACTCCGTGGAGCTCCCTGGGTGCCACTGTAGCCACCCAAATCATGACTACAGACCCAGGCCTCCTGCTCTACGGAGCAGGCAGGAGTCCATCCTCCTGGCCAGGGGCTACAGCCAACCAAACTGTGGCTGTGCATCCCACCCTCCCTGTCCTCTTTCAGGGGGGCAGGAACAGGCAGTATCTGCCCTCCTGGATGCAGCTGAAACTCTCTGACCCATGGCTGCAGACCTGGGCCTCCCACTTTGTGGAGTGGGCAGGAGCCAGAGACAAGCAGGAACCCTACCCCTCCTGAGTTTGTGGAACTGGAGCTCCCTGGGTACAGCTGTGGCCACCCTCTCAGGCATCTCTGCAGTCTGCACCCTCAGGGGCCCAAGAAGGCCCCCTCCTCTGTCCCAGCAGGCTCGGGTTATCTGCTTCCACTGCCTGGCCTCTCTTCTACCCTGGTGCCCACTCAGTCTTGGAGCAGGGTTGGGGCCAAGCTGCAGGGCCTTGAATGGCAGCAGGAGGCAGAGTCCTGGATGGGCAAGGTTGGGTCCCCAGTAAGGCCCACCTTCAGGCCAGGAAGGGCCTGATGGCTGAGGGCTGGGCTGCCAGTCCTGTAGACTGGAGCGGGGACCCATGATGCCTCTTCTGGGCCTGCCCGTGGCCACCCATGAGCCAATTGGCATGCACTTCCTCCACTCTGAGGTCCATAAAAGCCCTGGGCTCAGCCAGAGCAGGGCAGAAGACAGCCAGAGAATGAAGAGGGCAGAGAAATGATGGGACCACTAGCTGCAGAGAGGAGTACCCTCTCTGATGATAGCTGGAGAGGATGGGATGACCAGCCGCAGAGAGGAGCTACTCCCTCTGCTGAGAGCTGCAGAGGTGACCTGCTGGCAGAGAGGAGCCACTCTCTCTAGAGCCTCCTCTCTGCTGAGAGGATATTGGGATGAACAGTTGCAGAGAGGAGCTACCCTCTCCAGGGCCTCCTCTCTACTGAGAACTAAACACCTAAAGATGACCTGCTTACAGAGAAGATCTACTCACTGCTGATCTCCTCTGAACTGTTGTAACACTTAATAAAGCTCATCTTCATCTTGTTCACCCTTCACTTGTCTGTGTACCTCATTCTCCTGGATGCAGGACAAGAACTCAAGCAAAGGCATGAGCAGCCACAGAGGTTTCCGGGAAGAAAATCGACACCCCAAAGATTCTGTAACATTATCTTGTCCAAGGTCATAGAGTGTGTAGGAAACAAAGCCAGCAGCAAATTCAGAACCCCTGTTTTTCCTTGCACTCTGCCACTGGACCCAACGTTGTCAAATTTCAGTAATTTATTGCAGTGTTGCTTTCTCTTTCCACTGCTGTCTTGTGTCCTATGAGAATCTGACTTAGGCTTGCCTTCATTGCATGCTGACAGTTTTTCTCACCTAGCAGCTATCATCTCAGGACTCAGTGTCAACTAACTCTAATCTGAGTATACTCACATTCTGGAAGCTATCATATAGAGGAACACAACCTACATTCTTAACATAGGGTGTCTAATAGTGGCAGGAAGGTCAAGGGAATTTGGGGGTGTATGTGGCCTTTATCCCTACCCAAATCCTATCATGTAGGCAACCTCTACCTATTCCATAAACAGAATTAGATGGTTCCAGGGGAACTGCAGAGAGCTTCTTGCCATACATCGTGTCCTAGAGCTTTCAATTTTGAATGGAAGTGGCAGACACTGGGGCTTTCTCTCCTAGGAGGACAAGGGTCACTGCAAGGCATCAGTAGCTCCAGAAAAGGAAAAAAGTTGATGGAGATCAGCTGTCTTTTCCCATCTCCTCATTAGACGAGCACTTCCATAGATAGGAGTTTATGCAGCATTTTCCTGAACAGCAACTTACAAGCATGCAAGAGATATTTTGGTTGACTCATTTGTCACCCCCATAAAAATAAGTACCCTCTGTGTTGAAGGGCATAAGCCAGGGGGTGTTTAAGTCTTCCTGCAGTGCCTTCTTGTAGAGGTCCTGAAGTTTGCTCATGATGTTTTTCCTTGGCTTGGCCTTATTTTAAGGAGTTGTCAAATAGATTGCAAAACAAGGGCTCCAAGATTATTTCTCATCCTGTTTTGCTTTTAACTTTTAAAGATTAAAAATATCACATATTTATTGTAGAAAATTTGGAAGGAACAAAAAACTATACAGAGAATAAAGTCATTGTTTTAAAATACAAATCCAATCCTGTCATCCTGGTATTGAAAACACTTCAATGGTTTCTATGCATTTTTTATATTGTTAAGAGCACCATTTCATAAGAACTTTACCATTCTCTGCTGTGGAGAGAAACCCTACTGTAACTTCTTTATTGCATTGCATGAATGTATCATAACACGTTCATTTCCTTAAAGTTGAACAATTAGGTTGTTTTCAGATATTTTCTTTTATAAAGAGCACTGCACAGAACATCTTTGTGTGTAAACATTTATAAGCATTTTTAGATTAGAAAGACTCTGTAGAAATTAGAAGATTGAGCAGGCCCTCTAAATGAGATAATGAATGAAAGCACTTAATTGTACTTACACGTACATTAGCATAATGAATGTACATTACTTTAGCCTCAGATTCAATTCATTCCAGTGCTGACTTTGAAGGATAAATTGACTGACCTGTGAGGTGGTTCACACTTGTAATCCCAACACTTTGGGAGACTAAGGTGGGCTGATCACTTGAGGTCAGGAGTTCAAGACCAGCCTGGCCAACATGCCGAAACCCTGTCTCTACCAAAAATAGAAAAGTTAGCTGGGTGTGGTGGTGCATGCTTGAAATCCCAGTTACTCGGAAGGCTGAGGCATAGGAACTGCTTGAACCTGAGAGGCAGAAGTCGCAGTGAGCCAAGACTGTGCCACTGCATTCCAGCCTCGGTGAGAGGAAGACTCTGTCTCAAAACAAACAAACAAAAAGGATAAATTGAATTGACCACCTCGCATTATTACTGAACCAGTCTATTCTCTAACCAGTTCCTCAATCCTACAATTTATGGCTGTAAATGTTGTTGGCCCAAGGTGTGCTGTGAAGGTCCAGTTCTTGCTATGGTTGTTTTCAGATTCTGTGAGGAAGCTAAGTGGGGTTCCTTCATTCTTCCACTGAAGACTATGTGGCCATCACCACCAGCTGAGCAAGAGTAGTCACCTGGAGGTAAATGTCCTAGGGAGCACACTTTCAAGTGTGTCATCAATAGTCCTGCAGGAAGATGCTATTAGGATAAACTGTCCTATACTTCAATGGATGCATGGAGAGAAGCCTGAATTTCTCTCTTTTTTGTATTTCTAAGCAGGAGGCTTTGTGGGAGTTTGTTTACATCTGACAGGGTCAGGGAAGGATGGGAAGGAAAAAAGAATACTGTTTTTTAGTTATAGTTTGTTTTTAAAAAATCCTGTTCGCTTGCAATTTACATACACAGATTAATCTTTTTGTTTTTATATTCTTTCTCATTTGAAAAATGTTTTACCCTATCAAATAGTAAAAGAGACGCACATCCTTATCATGGGTATGCAATGTTTGAGAAAGGGAAGGCTGTGAAGCCTTTAGCAAGAGAAGACAGCAGAGCCTAAAGAGAAACAGGTCCCCAGTATCCCCCTAATCTGAGGTAGTATTCTCACCCCCATCTCTCTGCTTTCAAATCCTACATCTAAAGTCTCAAACTCAAATGTCTTTATGATCCAGGCAGATAGGATAAATACAGTCAGCCAGGTTGATACAGAGGAAACTGGAAGGGCACTTTTAAACCATGGTGCAGGCCTTACAAAGCCTGTCTGCAGCCTGAATGCAGCCCATATGCAAGTAACACAAAGGCAAATGTTTCTGACAAAGAGGCTAAACATTCTGTTTAATAATTGAAACTTTTATTAGATAAACTGCTATCAGGTCTAAAAATCTTGAGGATATTCTGATACTCATATGCCAAGCTGAGTAATATATGGCACACATGTACTTGTGCATATATAACTGTATCAATGTGTATCTGTGCTGTATATGGGCTGCACTCTGTAGTACCTCAGTTTTAGACTTTTTCAAGAAAAGTGAGATGTTTAGGATACCTATTAACATCTTGTACTTGTTTTATGGATACATTTGGAAAATTGAAAACGTTTTATAGTATTTAGTGCCCCTGATATTCTTATAAATATAAGCATCTCCTGCTTAATGTCATATTACTAACCTGTTCTTAAAAAATCAGATGTTCTACACAAAAACACTAGCCTAGAGCATATTTCCAGTTATTTTAAATGGGAAAAATTACAATGCATTATCCATCAACCCTGAAACCTCAAATAATTTCCTGAAATATAAATACAGAGACATTTATATATAGGTAAAAATTATCATTTAGGATGTAAAATGTATGTTTAGCAAACAGAAGATCTGTGTACAGTGACATGATCTTTGATGCCTCTTTGCACTAGCAACTTTCCCTTTGATGACAATCAGCCTACTGAAAAGTAAAAATCTGATTCTGATGTTCTGATCTGTGTTTGGAATGGACTTGAGAGTTTTCTTCATCCATTGTTTAGTTAACAATGTTGTATTGATTATTAGACTTTAAACATAACATTTCCATATTTAAACAATGGTGAAAAACAATGTGGAGAGATAAGTAAGTTCTATGAATTTAAATATTAAAAAAAAACAATAGTGATTCTATCAGAAAAACCTAAACTGTAAAAGTAGTTGGCAGAGTATGTCTGTAATGACACAATGAGCTCTGGTTCATTAGCCTAATGATGTAAGCAAATACCTTGCTGGGGTCTAGCACAGTATGTGATGCTCAGTGTTCTGTTCCTATTACAGCTTTCATTTTTTCTTAATCAATTCCATTTCTAAATTCATTAATTGGGATTTGTTTATATTTTTATTATTCAGAGAAAACCTAATGTATTTCAAGAAACATTTTTGAATCTTAATTGTAATTTGGATTTAAGTTTCCACCCATACTAAGTTGAAGAATGTGTCTGGGCATCTGCTAGATAAAAATATTCTGGCTTATGAGGATTTGTCAATGTGGTTTCACAAAGAAACATAATCCATTCATCAAAAATCTGTTAAGCTCAATGTGGGAAAGCAAGCTCCTTATAGATCTATCGCACTGCTAATAACAACTATAAACTGTGGAAAAATATCTTAACCAACTACCTGATGAATATGGGGATTAAACAAAAGCACACAGGTTCCATAGAGTGATAGAAAGAAAAAAGGACTAGTAGCATAGGCTAAGTTTTCTATTAATATGAGTTTTAGCCTGAGTGCAGGCCAAGTTAGTGCCACATGGGGCATCTAGAACTTTGATAGAAAACCTTTAACCATTCTAGCCTGAAGAACCATAGGACAGAGTTCCAGGCAACTGCAGTCATTAGGAAGTGAGGCCAGGAAAGAAGACAATCGGAGAGAGGGGCTCTGAATTCTACGTATAAACTCTTCCAATTCTCTGGCTGATGCATGAACCACGCATGTGCCTGTCAGACTGCAAACTTCTCAGTTAAGGAGTGAAAGAACTAAGCAAATTTGAGCTGATGCCCAAAGGGCACAGTTTGAAATTGGATTCCCACCAAGTTAATTGTCTCCTGAAACAAATAAACCAAAAATGTCAACAAGTTTTGGAGAAACGTAACAGAACCCAGTTTCTACAACTTACATTACAATGTCCAGAATACATTTCAAAATGACGTGACATATAAAGAATAAGAAAAATGTGACCCATTTTCAAGAGAAATGACAATCAACAGAGGCCAACCCCAAAATATTTCAGATGTCAGAATTGGCAGACAAGGACTTTAAAGCAGCTGGTCTAACTATTATTAATGAGATCAAAGAAAATATATTCTGGAATGATAAGATGGAAAATCTTAGCAGATAAATAGACAATATATGTAAGAGCCAGATGAAAATTTTGGAACTAAAATAATACACAAGCTGAACTAAAATACACCAACAAGAATAATTCTAATCTTTACTATGAATCTTTTACTTTACATGTAAAAATTACAGGGGTATGAGTATGCCTAACTCACAGAAAACATTTTTACATTCTTCTGTTTTTGATCCCTCCCGGCGTTCTCCACATGGTTGGCGAGTGCTGCCTGAAACGTTCTTCCTCTTTTCTGTAACGTATTTTCAACCTCCAGTCTCTCAAAATGTTGACCATACTACCTGAAAAGCTTTTCTTTTCTTTTTTCTTTTCTTTTCTTTTTAATTATACTTTAAGTTCTAGGGTACATGTGCACAATGTGCAGGTTTGTTACATATGTATACATGTGCCATGTTGGTGTGCTGCACCCATTAACTTGTCATTTACAGTAGGTATATCTCCTAATGCTATCCCTCCTCCCTCCCCCCTCCCCCCACCCTACGACAGGCCCTGGTGTGTGATGTTCCCCTTCCTGTGTCCAAGTGTTCTCATTGTTCAATTCTCACCTATGAGTGAGAATATGCGGTGTTTGGTTTTCTGTCCTTGTGATAGTTTGCTGAGAATGATGGTTTCCAGCTTCATCCATGTCCTTACAAAGGACATGAACTCATCCTTTTTTATGTTTGCATAGTATTCCATGGTGTATATATGCCACATTTTCTTAATCCAGTCTATCATTGATGGACATTTGGGTTGGTTCCAAGTCTTTGCTATTGTGAATAGTGCTGCAATGAACATACGTGTGCATGTGTCTTTATAGCAGCATGATTTATAATCCTTTGGGTATATACCCAGTAATGGGATGGCTGGGTCAAATGGTATTTCTAGTTCTAGATCCTTGAGGAATCGCCACACTGTCTTCCACAATGGTTAAACTAGTTTACAGTCCCACCAACAGTGTAAAAGTGTTCCTATTTCTCCACATCCTCTCCAGCACCTGTTGTTTCCTGACTTTTTGATGATTGCCATTCTAACTGGTGTGAGATGATATCTCATTGTGGTTTTGATTTGCATTTCTCTGATGGCCAGTGATGATGAGCATTTTTTCATGTTGTCTGTTGGCTGCATAAATGTCTTCTTTTGAGAAGTGTCTGTTCATATCCTTCACCCACTTTTTGATGGGTTTTTTTTTTTTTCTTGTAAATTTGTTTGAGTTCTTTGTAGATTCTGGATATTAGCCCTTTGTCAGATGAGTGGATTGCAAATATTTTCTCCCATTGTGTAGGTTGCCTGTTCCCTCTGATGGTAGTTTCTTTTGCTGTGCAGAAGCTCTTTAGTTTAATTAGATCCCATTTGTCAATTTTGGTTTTTGTTGCCCTTGCTTTTTGTGTTTTAGATGTGCTTTATTCTTACTCCTTCCTCTTTTCTCTTCCCCTTTCCTCTGTGTCTGAGCCTCTCTGGATTCTATTGTTGCTCACTGTCTGGAGCTCCACAAGATTTGAACCAGTAGGTGATAGTGATTTTCCTTTGTGTGTGTGTTGGGATAGAGAAGGGGACAGAAAGAGAATATGAAGTGGGACATATGGTTGATAGGGTTGCAGTAAAGTTTAATTGGTATATTCATGGACTTCTCTACCTGGACAGATGTGTCACATTTATATAGGTACACCCTATACTGTGGTGTGCTCACTTTTGACATTCTTCTTTTCCATTGATTATCATTTATTCAGCTGCCTACACTTTTCTGTCCTTCTACTGTTTAAACCACTATTAGCTTCCATTGTGTCCTTGTCCCCCAAGGCCATTACAGAGCATTACCTGGCAACAATCTTATTCCTCTAAGCCATTGACTGTAGCTACTTTTGTCACTCTTCAGCTACTAGAAAAAAAGATGTACTCCTTTTTATAATCACTCCTTCAGGATGAGTTCTATGGTTGTTGGATGGCTAGTGATTTAGTTTTTTTCTTTATATTATAGTTCTTACCTTACAAGAGGGCAAAGGTGACTAGTGGGACAAAGAATGGGTTGCCAGACTCTCTTGGTGAGAGCCAGAATCTCAGGTGGAGAACCTGCTGTTTGGTCTGGATCACTCTCCCTGATGCCTCCTCAGAGTTCTTTTCTCTCAGGGCACTTTATTGTCTCTTCTCCCAGACTGGCCTCTTCCTGGAAATCCCTGTCCAATAGGCGAATCTGTATCCCAGTTGTAGACTGGCTTCAGGCTCTTGACCATAGTCCTTTGTTCTCAGTAAATTGAGAGCTGTGCTGGGTATCTGTTTATTATTAACCCAGAATATTCTGTGACAGTGAGCATATATAGAGACATTTGAAGAAATTTTATTTAGAAGTCTGGACTTCTGAGAGCATGAAGAAAACTTCTAGTGGGAGGTATGGTCAGCCATAAAAGCATTCTGGGAACACAGAAAAGGAAGCAGTGACGTATTTTTAACATTATAAGGTGTATAGTTTTGTGGAGTTTTCCCCACATTTAAATATTTCTAAAATTTGCATGGGCCATTTAGTATCTTTTAATTCTATCACAATGTAATGACAAATCAATGCTGCATTATACCATTCATGGTGTCTTATAATTGAGGAAATAAGGTACCAAAATAGGGTACTTTTGATTAGGGCTGGAGTCATTAATAACTAGGGCTAGTGGTGGAGGTTTTTCTAATATAAAAAGTGTCATCTACTGGTCCTCATAGAATAGTTGAACATTTGTCAGATGGAGACTGATACAGAAAGGTATTCTGGGAAGAGAGAACAGCATGAGAAGAAGACCCAAATAGAGAGAGTGAAGTTGAGAGGTTTGAAGTTTTATAGGATGTTTAAACCAAGAAAATGAGTTTTACAGATGAAATGGGGAATAAATTTGAAAACCTAATTGTCTTTTTCTATATTGCCTAAGAATTGAAATATAAGAAATTTGTATCCTTCACCCACTTTTTGATGGAGTTGTTTGTTTTTTTCTTGTAAATTTGTTGAAGTTCTTTGTAGATTCTGGATATTAGCCCTTTGTCATATGGATAGATTGCAAACATTTTCTCCCATTCTGTAGGTTGCCTGTTCATTATGATGATAGTTTCTTTTGCTGTGCAGAAGCTCTTTAGTTAAATTAGATCCCATTTGTCAATTTTGGCTTTTGTTGCAATTGTTTTTGGTATTTTAGTCAGGAAGTCTTTGCTCATGCGTATGTCCTGAATGGTATTGCCTAGGTTTTCTTCTGGGGTTTTTATGGTTTTAGTTCTAATGTTTAAGTCTTTAATCCATCTTGAGTTAATTTTGTATAAGATGTAAGGAAGGGGTCCAGTTTCAGTTTTCTGCATATGGCTAGCCGGTTTTCCCAATACCATTTATTAAATAGGGAATCCTCCTCCCCCCCCCCCCAAAAAAAAAAGAAAAAGAAATTTGTTTTCAACCTGTATTGGAACAACTTGAGGATTGTAACTTGACAAATGCTCAGAGTGCATTTGATTTCCAGGACACATTTAAGGGAATAAGACCTGTCAGACAGTTATAGCAATAATCTAACAAGAGACAATATGCATTCGGTCTACAGGCAGTAACAGAGAGAAATGGCAAAGGGGGAATGGAATGACCTTCCAAATATAGATATAACAAAATGTGTGTGTGGGAGGTTCTGGAGGAGAGAGAGGTCAAAGATGAGTCAAGAGTTTCTACCCTGGTGACTGAGTAGATGACAGTCATTTATTGAGCAAGTAAATATAGGAGAAGAAGCCGTCTTTAGATTTTGCAGCATAATATGGAAAAGAGGTAGACTATCAAGAAAGTCAGGGAAATTTATTGGGAGGGAGATTTGTATTAAAGACGTGGATGCATTCTTTATTTTATTCTGTTGTTCATAGCTTTGGGGGACTTCCTATATGCAAGGTTCCAATCTAGGTGCTAATTATTGAAAGGTGAAAAAGACACAGAAATTTTGCCCCCAGGGAATTCACAGTTTAGGGGAGGAGCTACACTGGCCCATCTGAATTCCAAGCCTAGATGATTGGCACTATAATTAAGGTGTGATCAAAATTCAGAGCAGATGCTGTTGGCACCAAAACGTATCTACTCTGCTCTCAACATTCCTGTGCATGCCAGCCTCACAGTTTCCAACTTCAAGTACCTGCTTCTTCCTGAGGGATTCCTCTGGCAATGGGAATCTACTGAAAGTGTCAGAGAGTTACAACCCTTTCCTCAAGTAATTCCCAACCAATGACTGTGATGAATTTGTAGAAAAATAGTTCTGCAACTTTGCCTCTTAGCTGACATAACTAATGGGCATATTCTGCACTGCATCACATGGCTGTCAGTGGCATTGAACACCAGTTATCCACAGTGCAAACCTGCTGGTTAATTCACCTTGAATTGGCTTTGTTCCCTTCCTCTCTCACTTCTCCAGTCCTTACTAGTGCTTCCTGGGACCACCACCTAAATGAACTGCTGACTCTTGAATCTTTGGCTCAGAGACTGCCTCTGTTTCAGCTTTTAAAAATAGCAATAATTTCTTTTGATACTCCTTCCATCAGGAGATGGGGTTTAGGTCCTCACCCCTTGAATGTGGGTGAACTTCAGCCTCAGAGCATGGTGGAAGTAATGCTATGTGACTTTCAAGGCTGTGTCATAGGTGACCGTGCATCTGCTGTCTTGTCCACTGAGGTTCTTGCTCTTGGAGCCGTGAGCTACCATATAAGGAGTCCAGCTGTTTTGGGGCTGCCACGTGGGATATGGGTATGCCATGCTGAGAGGCCACATGGAAAGCTCTGAAGCTATATATATATATATATATATATATATATATATATATATATATACACATATATATTTGTGTGTGTGTAGACAAAGAGAGAGAGAGTGGTCATTCTAGCCCAGGTGTGAGAGAGAGAGAGGTGTGTCATTCCAGGCCAAGTGCAAGGCATGTGAGTGAAAAAGCCTCCAGATAATTTCAGGCCCCAATATCTGAGTCATTCCTAGCCATTCCAGTCTTCTTAGCTGAATTTTCAGACATAACAGACATAACAGAGCAGAGACAAACTGCACTCACCATGTTGCGACTGAATTCCTGACCCACTGAATCCAAGACCATAATACGATGGTTGTTTTATACCACTGAGTTTTTGGGTGGTAACTAGAACATTAAACCTAAGACAGTACTTTCATGGAAGAAGCATCATAAACATTTTCAGAGAGTTGAATATAGGAGTATGAAGGATCTCATTGAGGGAGAGAGTGCGGCTCTCAGTAACTTTCTACCATGCAGGGATGATGTCTTTTTCCTAAAAAGATGTGTATTTGGCATACATTCTCTCTCCCACAATAGGACCAGCCTCAATCGATATTATCTAAAAACATCAGCTCTTAGGAAGTTACATGGTCCAAATTAGGCTAATAAATTACAAACGAACTACCAAGGGGCGACTGGTTAATAAATTTTCAATAGCTTTCTCCTTTTTAAATGGTGTTTGCTTGTGGTTTTTTATTAGCAATCACATACACTTGGTTAGAAATATATGTGACCTGAAAAATAGACAATGGAGCAGAGATTCATCCTGAGTTAAGATCTAGATGCTATCTAGTTTGAACATGAGGTGAAGGGGTGGATAGTTCTCAGGTGATTGGAAATGATTTTTGTGTTGGGTATGATGTCTGTCACATCCAATCACCTGGTGCCTGTTTAGGATCAGACATATGACAGCAGGTGGAAGTGTGCCTTTTGATCCCGAAATGGCAACAGACCCTCATGTCTGCAGCTTCATCTGACAAATTTGGCAGGAAGGAAGAGGTATGGAACCAGAAGCATCTGCCACTGAGTTGGGAGAGCAAAAATAAAGGCATTCGTTAAAGCTGTTTCCTCCCATTGCAATTCAGTGAGCTTTCTGTGGACATATGATCAGACCCAAGCATGTTTATCAATATCAGCGTCCTGGGATCTTTTGTGCATGACTCATTGGTGCTTCTGAGATTCCATTTGAATCAATCCAATCCACTTCAACTCAAGGAACATTTATACAACTGTGCTGGAGATGATGGAGGAGACCTGAACAAGGTACAGTTCATGCATTCATGATAGGCATTTTTCATCCAGTCCTCCTGCAGGTGCCCCATCACCAGATGAGAAACCTTTCTTCATATGGGATGGATTACAGTTACATTAACAGTAAAAAGGAGAATAGTCTAGACACAGAAGAAAATACACATCACTATTTGATATTGTGGTGGGCAAGCATTTTTTAAAATAAAATCAATGGAAACATGCACAAAGATATTAGATGATATACAGAAGAACGAAAGCTACTGTAGGTGATAATCTAAACAGCAAAGGAAATGACAATCAGGAAAATATTTGCCAGAAATATTTTGTTAACATTATAAATATATGAAGAATTTTTGTCAATTAACTAAAAAAAGGCACTGGAATGCCAACAGAAAAGAATAAGTAACAAGCATGAAGAAATAATTCCTATTAGAAGTAAAATGGCTAATAAAGGTATAAATATATGATCATCTCACTAGTAATAAAAGAAACACAGATGAAACAACAGATAACAAAAAAGAGATGCCACAGTTTGCCACAATTTCTTGAAAGCAACAATATACAGTCAGGTAAAAGTAGATGAGCTGGGCACTTTCCTACTGCTGGTAGGCCAGTATTCCCGCAACACTCCTGAAAACAAATTGACAATCTGTGTCAAGACCTTAGAAGAATTTTAAAACTTTGATTCATTGCTAGTACTTCCAGAAACCTGTCTTAAAGACTGAAGAGATAAACTTAGAGTTTTATATAAATAATAATCATCAAAATAAGGTTGATTGAAAAAGAAATATAAAAATCTAAATGGCTCCAAAAAAGCATGATTAAATAAGTGTTTATATGTGTACAGTATATAGTAATTACTAAAAGTTAGGTTTCTAAAGAATATTTGATGATGTGGAAAATGCTTTTGTCAGAATGTTAATGAACAAGAGAGAGAAAACAAAATTTATTAAGAGTTTGTTACTAATTTTGAATGTGAATTTGTAAATACTAGAAACAAATACACCCAAAATGTCAGCACAGTTACCTTTGAGTGGTGAGATTATGGGTGATATTTATTTTCTTCTACTTAACTCTTTGGTATTTTCCAAATCTCTACAATGAAAATTGAATCAGTTTTCTAGTGCTGCATAACAAATCGTACGCGCTTAGCAGCTTAAAACAATATCATGCATTATCTCTCAGTTTCTGCAGGTCAGAAGTCTGAGGTTGGCTTTACTGCATTCTGCTTAGGTCTCACAAGGCTCAAAACAGGGTGAGCTGGGATGAGTTCTCATGGGGAGCACAGGGTTCTCACTCAAGCTCATGTAAGTTGTTGGCAGAATTCAGTTTCTGTGGTTGCAGGACTGAGGCCCTCGTTTTCTTGCCGGCTGTCGGCTACAGTTCCTTTCCAGTGGCCCCACTGGCTGTTCACAACATGCATGCTTGCTGTCTTCCAGTGCAGCAAGGGTGCATGAATTGTCTCTTTGTGATCAGCTAGAGAAAACTCCTTGCTTTTAAAGGATTCCTGTGATTTGATCAGACTCACAGGGATAATCTCCCTGTATCAAGGTCAACTGATTAGAGAACTTGGTTTCATTTGCAAAATCCCTTTGTATCAGCACCCAGATTTGAGTTTGATTGAATAACTAGGAGAAGGTATTTGTCCACCAAGGGCTGGGAATCTTGAGGGCCCCCTTAAAACCTGCTTATTGCAACCATGTCTTAGTAGGTTAAGCTTTAGAAACAGACTCCTTGGTTTTGAATTCTACCTCTGATTGATCAACTGACTTTGGGGGAGTTAATTAACTTCTTTGAATTTCAGTTATCCTTAAGATTGGAGAATAATAATAGTAATTGTCTCAATGGTTTGTTGTAAAATATGTTGCAAATATAAATATTAATGTAATAATATTTTGTAACTTAATTTGGCATGAATTCTGGTTTGTGGTATTAGTATCAGAAAATATATAGAGTCATGTGTCCCATAATGGCAGGATACTTTATGAGAAATGTATTGTTAGGTGACTTTTTGTTGTTGTGCAAACATCATAGAGTGTCCTAATACAACCTAGATGATATAGCCTACTACACACCTATGCTATATGGTATAGCCTATTGCTCCTAGGCTAAAAACATGTATAGCATATGACTGTCCTGAATACTGTAGGCAGTTGTAACACAATGGTAAGTATTTGTGTATCTAAACACATCTATATGTAGAAAAGGTACATAAAAGTATTATACTATTTGAGGACCACTGTTATATATGTGACCTGTCACTGACCACAAACATTATGTGGCAAGTGACTATAATTTAAAAGTCCACAAAAAACTACTCAGGCAGAAAATAATTTGACAAACTACATAAGAAAAAGCTTCAGATTTTCTCATTATTTTTGTCTTTTCCTGTCAATGGCTAGGAAGCAGTTTATCCTTACTTGTGTGCAATGCTGATCTTGCAGCAAAATTGTTAAGTAGATAAACAAACCTATGGTGCCCCAGCCTCTTTTCCTTTCTTGATACTCTGCTCCCACCCCGAGTAAAGAAAAACATTTTGTTATTCCTCTTAGCTGGGGAAAACCTTGTTAAAATGTAAATATTTTCTAAAAAGAGAGAATACACATGGCAGCTAACCATGGCTTGTGTTATTTTGAAAGTTCTGTAATGGGATGCTGAGAGAGGGGTACCTAGATGGCAATGTTTTGATGTGGATATAAAAGAGGGGCAAAGATGTGCCTGGTGAATGACCAACCCTTACAGATATAAGAAGATGAAGAAAGTTATGAGAACATTGGCTTCTTGAGGAAAAATATCCAAGAGATAGAAGGAATAATAGAATCTATCTCACTTCCAGAAAGACCAGGTAACCACAAGGTTCTACAATCCTTACAAAAATATGCCAGTGAAGTGTCATTCATTGGTCAGGTTGCTCACTGCCTCACTTATTAATAGTTTATTTCTGGTTATTAGAAAGTTCCGCTTGTCTGTGGAAACTCCTGCTTCTGCTCTCTGCGGCCACACATGGCAAGCCTACATCTGCTTCTCCGGACCAGTCTTTGATGCTTGAATGTGGAAAGGGGGATGCAGGGTGCTGAAAACAAATTTCACTTGCTTTAAAGCCCAACCTGTTCTCTTTCTAACTCAGCTATTTATGCACATGCCACCCAATCCTATGCTTCTTGTTTCTAGCCATGTCCCTTGCCATATCAACTTCTAGGTGAGAATAAAATAACCATAAGCGGGTCAGTTTTGCTTGAGCTTCCTGGAAGGCACTCCATGCTAGGGCCAGGTTGCTGGATATCAGGTGGTACCTTTCATTCTTGCCCTTCAGCTAGAGCTAAAGGCGTAGTGGAAGCAAATGGTCAGCAGAACGAGGCCAGTTTCTCTGAAAGATTTCCCTGGATTTTGTAGAACTGGTATTGTTTTTTGTTGTTGTTGTTGTTTTTGTTTGTTTTTGTTTTTTTGTTTTTTTTTGAGACGGAGTCTTGCTCTGTCGCCCAGGCTGGAGTGCAGTGGTGCTATCTTGGCTCACTGCAAGCTCCACCTCCCGTAGAACTGGTATTCTTTAACCCAGAGTATATGTTCAGGAAATGCCTTTTAAAAGAATGAGTGAGAATAAATAATAACAGCTCCCAAAGGTAAAGATTGCAATATTATGAATTATTACACAATAGTTATCTCATTGCATATTGAGCAGACAGACATTCGAGTTTGAGTTGAGCAAAGAAGGAATAATGTCTTATCAAAATTGTAGCACTAGCAGTTAAGAAATATATGTATTATGTGCTAGGTACTGTGCTAGGTGATTGATAGCCATGGTCTAATTTGATTCCCACCAGACTGTGAACTACATGAGGGCAGGGGACTTAGCCTTTGCTATGTGTGGTGGTATTCTTAGTGTCTAGCATAGTGCTGGTATGTAGCCATAGAGAATGTCTGCAAATTACTTTAGCATAGACTTATGGAATATCTACTTTGTGCTGGAGCAACCTGACAAGCAGATTCTGAATGCTAATACCCAGGGCTGGGAAATTAGCAGAGCATAAAACCTGGAAAAAGCCCTTGTGGAAAGCCATCCTTAAGAATGAAGACTAGATTCAGGCAATCCTAGGTTTAAATTCTGTCTCTGCCACTTTAACCATGTGACTTTGGGCATTTATTTCATATCTCTGAATGTCTCTTTCCTCATCTGTAAAATGGGGATGGTAATAATAGGGCCTAGCTCTTGAAGTGGCTTGAGAATAAATAAATGAACAACGGTTGTCCCATGCTATGCTGTCAATACATGGCAACCATTATGTTTATAATGGGCACTCTATACATATTATTTGAATGAACAAATAATTTATCCCAATGACTTAGATAAGAGATATATTCTTCATTTCATCAATAGAAAAAAATCAGAACTAGAGAAGAGTTAAGTACTTTCCCAGAGTCACATATTTGGTAAGTAGCAGAGCTGGGATTTGTATCCAACTTTGTGACTCCATAGTCCCTGCCCTCCACGCTATTGTTGCTGCTGTTTTCCTACTAGTGATCAATGTTGGCAAATAGCATAAACATGCTGAATATAATTCCTGAGAGGAACTAAGGCAGGAGGGCAAATACCATGTCATTTTCCAATAAGGTGGGGCAAGTGAGGTTAAAAAAAATCATAAACAAGCAGTTTCCAGCTACCACTGTGGGAGTGTCACCCAATCTAGCTGTTAGGCATTGTTTTGTGCCAGTTGGAAGAGGGCTGCATTTTCCTCATGTGACAGCTGGTCTCAGTAGCAAGGAAGGCCTCAAAGTTGGCACCACAATTCAGCCCAGATTCCATTTGACACGATTCACAAATATGCAGCTGAAAAACTACAATCAAAGAGACGGTGGGCTCAGAATAGGGTAAAGCAGGCAAAGGAGAAATGGCAGTTTATTATTTTTGTTTTCATTATTAAATGGACATTGCTTAGCTATGAATCTCTAGTTTGGCAATGCATGTTTTAACATGTTGTTAAGTATACTATACATTAACTTCTATTGATTTTGCTTTTTAGCAAATATAGACCTTATTTTTGCAGGATGTTTTAAGTGGTCCAATTCAGGACATAATTATTATAGAGATAACAAGGAGTCTTGTTTAGGTTTCATTTAGACTCATCTCCAGTGCCAACTACTCCAGGATGACTTCTCTAACTCATTCAATTTTTCATTTGTTTACACAATTTAATACATATTTATTGAACACCTACTATATGCCAGACTGTTTGAAATCTTGAACAAGATCCTTGCTCTTATGAGATTTGCATTCGATTGGGGTGGTAAACAATAAACAAATAAATCAAGAAGTGAGTAGACAAAATAATTTCAGAAAGCGATAATTTCTATGAAGAGATAGAACATGTTGTGATTTTTCTTGAGGTAGAATTGAGATAAAGCCTGAATGTTGAAAACAGATGCCACAGATAGAACTGAGAGAACTATTATGGGCACTGGAAAAGGCTGGTGCAAGGGTCTTAAGGAAGAGAAAGGAGGTCTTTGTGGCTAGATCTCCACAAGTGGAGGACAAGGGTTGGAGAGATTGGCAGGGACCAGATCATGTAAGAACTTGTGGGACTTGGATTTTATTTTATGTACAATGGTAAGTCCTCAGGACATGAAGCATGGGCATGGCATTATTTTTGCCATTATATGTTTTAAGAGGACTCTGTAGTGTGAAGAATAGATTGTTGTAGATGTATAGATCTATGGAATGGAATTGAGTGTCCAGAAATAAGCCCTCATATTCATAGGCAGTTGATCTTCAGTTAAGGTGACAAGACAATTGGATGGGGGAGAGAATAGTCTTTTCAATAAATGGTACTAAGACAACTGGATATCCAAATAAAAATGGAACAAAGCTAGACTTCTACCTCATACTATTTACAAAAAAATAAGTCAACACAGATTAAAGCCTAAACATAAGAGCTAAAACTATAAAACTCTTTGACAAAAGTATACTGGTAAATTCTGACATTGGATATGGCAATGGTTTCTTATATATGATACCAAAAGGACATGTAACAAAAGAAAGAACATGATAAATTGGGTTTTATCAAAATTTAAGACTTAGGTACACTAAATAACATTGTGAAGGAAACAAAAGAACAACCCACAGAATGGAAGAAAATATTTGTACATCAGTTATCTGATAAAGACTTGTATCCAGAATGTATAAGGAACTTCTACAACTCAGTCATAAAATACATGCAATTTAAAAAATGAGCAAAGGATTTGAATAGACATTTCTCTCAAGAAGATATGCAAGTGGCTAATAAGTTCACGAAAAGATCCTTAGCATCATTATCCATCAGAGACATGTAAATCAAAACCCTAATTAAATACCACTTCACACCCAGTAGGATGATAATAATTGAAAAAGAGAGGTAATAACAAGTGTTGGCTAGGCTATGGAGAAATTGGAACCCTTATTTGCTGCTGGTGGGAACATAAAATGGTGCAGCCACAGTCGAAAGCAACCTAGCAGTTCCTCAAATGGTAAACAGGGTTACCATATGATTTAGCAATCTACTTCTAGGTACGTACCTAAGAGAAGTAAAAAAAAAATCTTCACACAAATATTCATACATCATTAAATCATAATACCCAAAAATGGAAACAACCGAAATAGTCATCATCTGATGAATGGACACATAAAATGTCATATATGCATGCAATGGACTATTAGGTATTAAAGATAAAGTGATGAGACATGCTTCAACATGTGTGAACCTCAAAAACATTACCTAAGTAAAAGAAGTCAGCCGCACAGGAACACGTATCATATGACTACCTTTATGTAAACTCTCCAGAACAGGCAAATCCACAGGAGCAGTAGACAGATTAGTGGTTGCCTAAGGCTGGGGGGAATGAAGTTTGGAGGATTATGGTTAGAACATTTCTGACATAATGAAAATGTTCTAAAATTGTGGTGATGGATACACTACTCAGTGAATATAATAAAACCATTGATTTATGCACTTTAAATGGGCAAATTGTACTTGAATTATATCTCAATGAAACTGATTTTTTTAAATAGATTGTTAGTAGGGCAAAATTAGAAATGTGTATCTAAATTAGGAGGCTGTTGCTGTGGTCCAAGTGAAAGATGGTGGTGGCTTGAACAAGGATAATCTCGCTACCCCATTCATTGCCATCAGGCTGAAGTAAATACGCCTCTTATCTATTCCCATGTAACTACCTCTTATTTATTCCCATGTCCACTAATATTTATCACATTGCACTGAAAAGATCTGTATAGGTAGCTCTCTCCCTTACTACTTTGTAAACTTCTGATGAAGGATCTTGCTCTTCTCTCATGTTTTAGTTCCCTTTATGTAGAATGTCTACATACAGTAGGAACTAAATAAATGTGCAGTTAATTGATATATATATATCTATATATAGAGAGACATA
Source organism: Homo sapiens (assembly GCF_000001405.40). Lineage (NCBI taxonomy): Eukaryota > Metazoa > Chordata > Mammalia > Primates > Hominidae > Homo > Homo sapiens. The sequence goes on from NC_000005.10 coordinate 155,652,550, forward strand.
GTATATATATCATTTGAATATACAGATGAATATATATAATTTGAATATATAAAATGATATATAAAATGAAATATATAATTTGTCTAGAGCAGAAAGTCCAAAAGTAGACTCACACTTGATGGCCAATTAATTTTTTTAATTAACATGATTATTGGGATATAAATTACATGTGTAAAATCCACTCATTTAAAGTGTAAAATTCAGTGGTTTTGGAATGTTTACAGGGTAGTGCAACTGTTATCATAATCTAATTTTTGAAGAGTTTTATCACCCCAGAAAGAAAGTTCCCATCCATTAGCAGTCCATTCTCTATTCTCCTCTACCCTAGCCAATTATTATTATTTTTTTTTACAAAGGTGCAAAAGCAACTCAATGGAGGAAGGATAGTCTTTTCAACAAATGGTACTGGAGCAATTAGACATTCATTTGCAATAAAAATGAAACTTGACCTAAACCTCACATTTTATACAATAATCAATCAATGTGTATTACCAAAATGCAAAATATAAACTAAGAAAACCTTTAATTTTTTAACATTTAATTTTTTTATAATTTCAACTTTTAATTTAGATTTAGGGATTCATGTGTACCTTTGTTACATGAGTATATTGCATGATGCTGAGGTTAGGAGTATGATCCCTTCACCCAGGTACTGAGCATAGTACCTAATAGTAAGTTTTTCACCTCTTTCCCCTTTCCCTCCTACCCTGCTCTCGTAGTCCCCAGTGTTTATTGTTGCTGTTTTATGTCCACAAGTACCCAATGTTTCACTCCCACTTATAAGTGAGAACGTGCGGTATTTAGTTTTCTGTTCCTGTGTTAATTGGCTTAGGATAATGGCCTCCAGCTGCATCCATGTTGCTGCAAAAGTCATGATTTTGTTCTTTTTTATGGCTGTGTAGTATTCCATGGTGTATATGTACCACATTTTCTTTATCCAGCCCACCATTGATGGCCATCTAGGTTGATTCCATGTCTTTGCTATTGTGAATAGCTCTGCAATGAACATACAAGTGCATGTATCTTTTTGGTAGAACAATTTATTTTCCTTTGGATACATTACCAGTAAAGGAATTGTTAGGTCAAATGGTAGTTCTATTTCAAGTTCCTTGATAAATCTCCTAACTGCTTCCCACAGTGGCTGAACTTAATTTGCATTCCCACAAATAGTGTATAAGTGTTCCCTTTTCTCTGCAGCCTCACCAGCATCTGTTGTGTGGGTTTTTTTTTGTTTTATTTTTTACTTTTTAACAATAGCCATTCTGACTTGTATGAGCTGGTATCTCATTGTGGTTTTGATTTGTATTTCTGTGATGATTAGTGATGTCCAACATTTTTAAAAACTTTTATAAGAAAACACAGAAAAAAAATATTTAGGACTTGGAGTTAATCAAAGAGTCCTTAGATCTGACACCAAAAGTATAATCCATAAAAAAATCTATTCATTGAGAATATACCCCAATAGGTGAATAACATACTTATCAGAATGACTAAAATGAAAATGCTGATAATTTCAAATGCTGATGAAGATGCAGAGCAATCTGAACTCTCCTACATTTCTTGCGGGGATGAAAAGTGATCAGCCACTTTGGAAAACAGTTTGTCAGTTCCTTATAAAGTTAACCAATTTGGCCCATTCTTCCTACTCCTGTGTATTTAACCTAGATAAATGTAAACTTACGTTCACACAAAAACCTGTCCAAGAATGTTTATGGCAGCTTCATTCATAGTTGCCCCGAATTTGAAGCAACTCAAAGCCCTTCAGTGTGTGAGTAAGTATAAACTGTGGTACCTCCATACACTGGAATCCAAGTCAGCAGTAAAAGAAACACACTATGGAGAACTGCAACTATGTGGATGAATCTGAAAGGGATTATGCTGAGGGAAAGAAGCCATCTCAAAAGGTAAGCTACTGGAGGATTTCATTTACATGACATTTTTGAAGAGACAGACCTGTAGTGAAGAACAGATCAATGGTTTTCAGGGGTTAGGATTGAGGACAAGTTGTGCACACAAAGGGATGGCATTAAGCAATTCATGGGGTGATGGAACTATTCTGTATTTTTGTTGCAGGGGTTATAAGAATTTCTACATGTGTTAAAAATTCCTATAGTTATGTACCAGAAAGTCAATTTAGTAAATTAATTTACCATATTTTTACTAATGAAAAATAAAATACAAAAGTAAAATAGCTTTCTTGAATCTCAAGAACTGCGGAGACAGATTCACCTGGCACCTGATCTGGCTCTGCTACCCATAACCAGGATGAATTTAGGATTATGTCATTATATCAGTTTTCTCATCTGTAAAGTGAGGATAATAACAGTGCTCATATCATATGGTAGAGAAAGTTAAATGAGATAACACTTATCAGGAACCTAGCACAGTGCTTGGCACATGGTAAGAGCTCAGTAAAATTCAGCTGTTCTTTCTGCTGCTGTTTCCACTGCTCTATCCTACTACCTACTGTATGGAAGAGGACAATGAAAATGAAAAAATTAGTCCTGTATTTTAACCAATAAAATATTGATACCAGGACATTTTGAGAGCAGCAACATGGAGGCAGCTCTATGATGTTTTATTCTGAAATTGTGTCTTGGGATAAACAAGCACAGGTGGCTCATCAGTGCCCTCAACAAACATAGGCCACTGTTCTATGATACCCCAATGTAACTGATTTAGCTCCATCTAGAATATCTGATTGTACTGTTCCCTTGTTGGTTAACCTTGGAAGGAGGTTCAACATAATAGATTAAAGGAAAGCATTTTCAGAAGTCCTGGGCATCTGAGGATGGTTTCCAAAAGCTAATATGAATTACCATTGTATTCTGTGTGGGTGTATGTGTGTGTGTGTGTATGTGTGTACATGCACATGCATGTTGTGTACAAACATGGCAGTCTTCCAGACTCCTCTGCCAATATCTCATATCCACAGAAGCTTGGGTTTTAAAATGTTTGGAACTCCTATTCTTATCTTCCAGCGATTGGCATTAAGAGCCCAGGACAGCTTTATATGTAAGTGCCTGGTGTCACTGATATTTATAACTGATAGAGCTGGGATCCCTGATTGAGCATGTTCAATTGCTCAACTTAATAGGGGAGCTTTATCATGTGCCTTTAATCTATGTCATCTGACTGGCAGCCCTGTTCTGCCATACTCTCTGTGCTGGCAAGTTTGCCTCCACATGCATGCTCCTGTGCTGCTGTATCTCTCCAGGAGGCAGCAGAGGGGCAATTCCTGAGCCATGGTGTTATCTTCCAATCAACTCTAGTAGCTCTGCTTGCTGTGACTCAAGAATTTTATTAAATAAAGCTTCCCAGTGTGTAGGTTAGGATTTGTTTAGAAACACATCTGTGATGGGCAGTCCGGGCAGATGAAATGGCTAGCTGTAGAGAAGGAAGACGCATAGCCCTGAACAAGTGTCTTGTCTCTCTCTGGCCCCAATTTTTACAACTGTAAACTGACGGTATTGGATCAAGTTATTTCTAAGGTCTGTATAAGCTTTCCTATTTCAGGAGTCTCATTCTCAAACAAGGCTTCTTGTTGGCTTTTAAAAGTTCCTTGCATTCTAAACATTGATTCTGTATTCTGCTTGTTGTTTTCCCCCGCAAAATAATGATGATCACATTTAAAAGACATTAGAAGTACTATAATCTTTGTTGCATGATTCAGCATAGCTATAAAGAAATTAGGTTTTGAGCCATCAATAAATTAACGTTGATTAGTGGTTACTGTTCAATGCAGATTTGACACAAAGCATGAACTGAAGAGCTTGGAGAACTGCAGTTTTCATATCAGAAGTGATTGAAAAGTCATTAGGTTAGTTAAAGTGTGCGTATTCTCTGTTAGGAGGTGGAGGAGGAGGAGGTAGTGGTGGTGATTGAAGGGTTAGGAGAATAGGATGGGGATTTACTAACCTCATGTGACAGCACAATTACAATTATACAACCCTTCTCCCTTTTTGCTTCTACCAGAACAACCTAGCAATTCACCTTCCAAATACACTCCTGACACCACAGAGAAGTGATAAATGTTTGAGATGATGAATATGCTAACTACCCTGATCTGATCATTATGTAATGTATACATATATTGAAACATCACACTGTAGCCCATAAACATGTACAATTATTATGTGTCAATTATAAACAAACAACCAAATACACTCCTAAACTAGTGAGACGTGCAGACAGGCCTGGAATCTTTAAATGAGAAGAGAGACTCAGAATGGCCTTGCTGTTGTTTCAGAATACAAATACCAATGCGTACAGCTCCTGGCACAAGGGCATCTGGGAGGGAGACTGGATGATAAGAACAAAGCCTAGATGAGCCCGTTGGGTCCAACACACTTTCTTCAGTCAATAATTTGCAATTCCATATTCACAAATGTAGAACCTTCTCAGACAGCACAACAGTGAAACGAATCCTCGTCCTTACCCCATTGCTTAGTTCAAAAGGCTAGACAACCAGTGTTGTGTGAGGAACATCAGACTTGAAAGTGAGGTGGTTGGCCAAAGTTGAAATGAAGGAAAAAATGTTAAGGGCAGCCAGAGAGAAAGGTCAGGTTACCCTCAAAGGGAAGCCCATCAGACTAACAGCGGATCTCTCGGCAGAAACCCTACAAGCCAGAAGAGAGTGGGGGCCAATATTCAACATTCTTAAAGAAAAGAATTTTCAACCCAGAATTTCATATCCAGCCAAACTAAGCTTCATAAGTGAAGGAGAAATAAAATACTTTACAGACAAGCAAATGCTGAGAGATTTTGTCACCACCAGGCCTGCCTTACAAGAGCTCCTGAAGGAAGCACTAAACATGGAAAGGAACAACCGGTACGAGCTGCTGCAAAATCATGCCAAAATGTAAAGACCATCGAGACTAGGAAGAAACTGCATCAACTAACGAGCAAAATAACCAGCTAAGATCATAATGACAGGACCAAATTCACACATAACAATATTAACTTTAAATGTCAATGGACTAAATGCTCTAATTAAAAGACACAGACTGGCAAATTGGATAAAGAGTCAAGACCCATCAGTGTGCTGTATTCAGGAAACCCATCTCACGTGCAGAGACACACATAGGCTCAAAATAAAAGGATGGAGGAAGATCTACCAAACAAATGGAAAACAAAAAAAGGCAGGGGTTGCAATCCTAGTCTCTGATAAAACAGACTTTAAACCAACAAAGATCAAAAGAGACAAAGAAGGCCATTACATAATGGTAAAGGGATCAATTCAACAAGAAGAGCTAACTATCCTAAATATATATGCACCCAATACAGGAGCACCCAGATTCATAAAGCAAGTCCTGAGTGACCTACAAAGAGACTTAGACTCCCACACATTAATAATGGGAGGCTTTAACACCCCGCTGTCAACATTAGACAGATCAATGAGACATAAAGTCAACAAGGATACCCAGGAATTGAACTCAGCTCTGCACCAAGCAGGCCTAATAGACATCTACAGAACTCTCCACCCCAAATCGACAGAATATACATTTTTTTCAGCACCACACCACACCTATTCCAAAACTGACCACATACTGGGAAGTAAAGCTCTCCTCAGCAAATGTAAAAGAACAGAAATTATAACCAACTATCTCTCAGACCACAGTGCAATCAAACTAGAACTCAGGATTAAGAATCTCACTCAAAACCGCTCAAGTACATGGAAACTGAACAACCTGCTCCTGAATGACTACTGGGTACATAACGAAATGAAGGCAGAAATAAAGATGTTCTTTGAAACCAACGAGAACAAAGACACAACATACCAGAATCTCTGGGACGCATTCAAAGCATGTGTAGAGGGAAATTTATAGCACTAAATGCCCACAAGAGAAAGCAGGAAAGATCTAAAATTGACACCCTAACATCACAATTAAAAGAACTAGAAAAGCAAGAGCAAACACATTCAAAAGCTAGCAGAAGGCAAGAAATAACTAAAATCAGAGCAGAACTGAAGGAAATAGAGACACAAAAAACCCTTCAAAAAATCAATGAATCCAGGAGCTGGTTTTTTGAAAGGATCAACAAAATTGATAGACCGCTAGCAAGACTAATAAAGCAAAAAAGAGAGATGAATCAAATAGACACAATAAAAAATGACAAAGGGGATATCACCACTGGTCCCACAGAAATACAAACTACCATCAGAGAATACTACAAACACCTCTACGCAAATAAACTAGAAAATCTAGAAGAAATGGATAAATTCCTGGACACATACACTCTCCCAAGACTAAACCAGGAAGAAGTTGAATCTCTGAATAGACCAATAACAGGAGCCGAAATTGTGGCAATAATCAATAGCTTACCAACCAAAAAGAGTCCAGGACCAGATGGATTCACAGCCGAATTCTACCAGAGGTACAAGGAGGAACTGGTACCATTCCTTCTGAAACTATTCCAAACAATAGAAAAAGAGGGAATCCTCCCTAACTCATTTTATGAGGCCAGCATCATTCTGATACCAAAGCCAGGCAGAGACACAACAAAAAAAGAGAATTTTAGACCAATATCCTTGATGAACATTGATGCAAATATCCTCAATAAAATACTGGCAAAACGAATCCAGCAGCACATCAAAAAGCTTATCCACCATGATCAAGTGGGCTTCATCCCTGGGATGCAAGGCTGGTTCAATATACGCAAATCAATAAATGTAATCCAGCATATAAACAGAGCCAAAGACAAAAACAACATGATTATCTCAATAGATGCAGAAAAAGCCTTTGACAAAATTCAACAACCCTTCATGCTAAAAATTCTCAATAAATTAGGTATTGATGGGATGTATCTCAAAATAATAAGAGCTATCTATGACAAACCCACAGCCAATATCATACTGAATGGGCAAAAACTGGAAGCATTCCCTTTGAAAACTGGCACAAGACAGGGATGCCCTCTCTCACCACTCCTATTCAACATAGTGTTGGAAGTTCTGGCCAGGGCAATCAGGCAGGAGAAGGAAGTAAAGAGTATTCAATTAGGAAAAGAGGAAGTCAAATTGTCCCTGTTTGCAGACGACATGATTGTATATCTAGAAAACCCCATTGTCTCAGCCCAAAATCTCTTTAAGCTGATAAGCAACTTCAGCAAAATCTCAGGATACAAAATCAATGTACAAAAATCACAAGCATTCTTATACACCACCAACAGACAAACAGAGAGCCAAATCATGAGTGAACTCCCATTCACAATTGCTTCAAAGAGAATAAAATACCTAGGAATCCAACTTACAAGGGATGTGAAGGACCTCTTCAAGGAGAACTACAAACCACTGCTCAAGGAAATAAAAGAGAATACAAACAAATGGAAGAACATTCCATGCTCATGGGTAGGAAGAATCAATATCGTGAAAATGGCCATACTTCCCAAGGTAATTTACAGATTCAATGCCATCCCCATAAAGCTACCAATGACTTTCTTCACAGAATTGGAAATAACTACTTTAAAGTTCATATGGAACCAAAAAAGAGCCCACATCACCAAGTCAATCCTAAGCCAAAAGAACAAAGCTGGAGGCATCACACTACCTGACTTCAAACTATACTACAAGGCTACAGTAACCAAAACAGCATGGTACTGGTACCAAAACAGAGATATAGATCAATGGAACAGAACAGAGCCCTCAGAAATAATGCCACATATCTACAACTATCTGATCTTTGACAAACCTGAGAAAAACAAGCAATGGGGAAAGGATTCCCTATTTAATAAATGGTGCTGGGAAAACTGGCTAGCCATATGTAGAAAGCTGAAACTGGATCCCTTCCTTACACCTTATACAAAAATCAATTCAAGATGGATTAAAGACTTAAACGTTAGACCTAAAACCATAAAAACCCTAGAAGAAAACCTAGGCATTACCATTCAGGACATAGGCATGGGCAAGGACTTCATGTCTAAAACACCAAAAGCAATGGCAACAAAAGACAAAATTGACAAATGGGATCTAATTAAACTAAAGAGCTTCTGCACAGCAAAAGAAACTACCATCAGAGTGAACAGGCAACCTACAAAATGGGAGAAAATTTTCGCAACCTACTCATCTGACAAAGGGCTAATATCCAGAATCTACAATGAACTCAAACAAATTTACCAGAAAAAAACAAACAACCCCATCAAAAAGTGGGCAAAGGACATGAACAGACACTTCTCAAAAGAAGACATTTATGCAGCCAAAAAACACATGAAAAAATGCTCATCATCACTGGCCATCAGAGAAATGCAAATCAAAACCACAATGAGATATCATCTCCCACCAGTTAGAATGGCAATCATTAAAAAGTCAGGAAACAACAGGTGCTGGAGAGGATGTGGAGAAATAGGAACACTTTGACACTGTTGGTGGGACTGTCAACTAGTTCAACCATTGTGGAAGTCAGTGTGGCGATTCCTCAGGGATCTAGAACTGGAAATACCATTTGACCCAGCCATCCCATTACTGGGTATATACCCAAAGGACTATAAATCATGCTGCTATAAAGACACATGCACATGTATGTTTATTGCGGCATTATTCACAACAGCAAAGACTTGGAACCAACCCAAATGTCCAACAATGATAGACTGGATTAAGAAAATGTGGCACATATACACCATGGAATACTATGCAGCCATAAAAATGATGAGTTCATGTCCTTTGTGGGGACATGGATGAAATTGGAAATCATCATTCTCAGTAAACTATCGCAAGAACAAAAAACCAAACACCGCATATTCTCACTCGTAGGTGGGAATTGAACAGTGAGATCACATGGACACAGGAAGGGGAATATCACACTCTGGGGACTGTTGTGGGGTGGGGGGAGGGGGGAGGGATAGCATCGGGAGATATACCTAATGCTAGATGACGAGTTAGTGGGTGCAGCGCACCAGCATGGCACATGTATACATATGTAACTAACCTGCACAATGTGCACATGTACCCTAAAACTTAAAGTATAATTAAAAAAAAAAAAAGAAAATAATTGATCACTGAAATGTAAAAAAAAAAAAAAAAAAAAAAAAGAAATTGAGGTGGTTGGATCTTGACTTTGTTATTTACCTAGTAGATGACCTTGAGGAAGTCATTTAACCTCTGTCATTCATTCCTTTATCGTTTAGTTGAGCAAATATATATTGAATTCCTGCTATGCCACCCATTAGGCTAAGTATCAGGATTACAATGAGACATTCTTTCTGCTTTTGTTAACCTCAGAACCTTAATTACTACTAACAATGGTTGACATTTGTTGACTTTGGTCTGTGTGTCAGGCCATATGCATTTTACATGGATTATGGCAATTCTCACAGCATCCCCAAAATAGTTATTATTATCCCTATTTTGCAGATAGGGAAACTGAGGCTCATGTAAGTTAGATAATTTATTCAAAATCATGGAGCAAGTGGCAAAACTAGGACATTTAGTCCAGAGCTTAAGAATTTAACCATGTTACTATACAATAACTTCTAATTTGCTAATCTAAAAATGTAGATAATACTGCTTACCTAAACATATTTTATAAGGTTTTGTGAAAGTATTTAGTATTTAGTAAGCTATTAGGTATCAGTAAAATGCATTTAGCTATTACAATAGGTCAATTGAATGGTGGAGTAGAAATAGCACAGGGGTGAATACAACACTGGGTAGTGTGGCCCTAGGGAAGTGATTTTCCCTCTTTGAGTCTCTGTTGCCTTATCTAACACAACAGAGGAAATCGTGCCCACCCTGCCTTTCTGGAAACTATTGGAAGGATAGAAAAAAATTGTGAATGTGAAATGCTGTGTATATTGTAAAGGGCTGTGAGAATTTAAGATTTACCTCAATATATAGTGACATTTGTATTTTGATAGGCATCATGTAGAGTCTCAAGATGTTCTAAGCTATAATCCCATGTTTATTAATGCCTGAGAATCCGAATCCTGTCTTCCTAAGAAGTGAAGTTAATCAGAAAGAACAAGGACAAAGTCATCTCACAAACTATTAGAGTCGCTAGGTACCTTATACACTTTGGAATGCATTAAAATGAAGCTTCTGGGTCCTGCCATCCAGATACTCTGATTTGTTGGCTCTAGACTGGGGCACAGGAGGCCACATTTTTAACATACACCTCACTCTAGTTAATTCTGATTCAGGGAGTACTTAGATCATAGTTTGACAATCTCGGATGTTATGAAGACCTTCCCTTTATAGATTGGACATGGATACACCTGACTTCTAGGAAAACACTCTACTTGAAACACTCTATTGAAAATTAATTCATTAACTCAAGTATTCATTGAGTGTGTACTATGTGCTATGAAGTTTTTCTTGAGGTATTGAGGATACAGCAGCACACAAAGTGCTTGCTTGCCTCATGAAAGTGACATTCTAATAGGGCAGATGAACAGTAAAGTGATAAAGGCATTAATAAATGATACAGTGGGTGTAGTGCGAAGGAAAAGTAGATGTATGAAAGAAAATTAAGCAGGAGAAGGGGATAGAGCGTTACAGGTGGGGCTGGGCTCCCTCATAAAGCGAGGTTTCAAAGCAGACACAGTAGAAGTGAGAGAGGCTCTACAGGAAACTGAGGGCACAGGATTATGGGAGAGGGAATAGCTCTAAGGCCAAAGTGTGCTTGGCACATTCAGAGAACTGTACAGAGGTCAGTGGGCAGCTGAACAGGAAGTAAGGGGCATACCTTAGCCTCAGTTTCAAAAACCTGCACCAGCTCCCAGTTCCCAAATTCATAACCTGGCATTCAAAGCCCTTTACGATCCGGCTTCAATCTCTACTTTACTCTTTACTCAACTTTTCTCTTTAACACTGTGCTTAGGTCAAGCTTACCTCCTGACTTTGCATGGCCCTTCTCTTTGGATGGCACATTTGACAGTGTCTCTAGAATTTTTTGGTTGCCACAATTAGGGGGGTTCTGTTGCAGTCAGTAGGTAGAGGCAAGGGATGCTATAAACTTCCTACAGTGTACAGGACAGCCCTCACAACAAAGAATTATTTGGCACAACATGTCAATAGGGCTGAGGTTGAGAAACCTTGGTTTAATGACTCCTTATTTTACAAAGCTGGGTCCTGTCTTGCACACCTTCCTTTAAGCTCCTTATTCTACTCTGTAGGATTTCTCTCTGAATTGTGTGGACCTTTCATAGCCTTTTTTTGTTGTTATTATGTCTATTTCAATGTGATTTCCACACAAGTTTTGGAATTATATAGCATGGACTTATTTCCCAGATCTCCCTATCTATGTGATCTCCCTTTTCCTTATCTATGAAACAGGACAAATAGCAACCCCTACTTCACACGTTGTTGGGAGGATTAAATGAGTTTGTACATGTAAATCCCTCACAACAGTGCCTGATACAGGGCCTAATAAATTTACTTATTATCATAATAAAAATCATTTAATTTCTTTCACTTTTTCATATGATCCTTAAAGGCAGTGATTATATCTTGTAGTTATATCATTATATTCCTTATACCTCCTTATAGATGTAGGGCCAGATGAATTAGAGTTTCTTATCAGAATGGTAATGGTGAGGGATAAGTCTTTGGTATATTTCCAATCAATGGGCTCTAAAACTTTGAGAGTACAGGGTAAGTCCACCTCCCTTTGAGAAAATGAACTCTTACCTAGGTCAATGAATAAACTCTTTCAGCTTACCAAATACTAATTCTTGATCTAGGACAAATACATGACAGCGGCTGCACCTGAGTTTCAGGGAATAGCTTTGCTCCTTTTTGTGTTAAGATAAGGAAGATAGAAAAAGAAATGGTCAGAGTAGAAAGTGAAGCACAGGCTGAAGCTGATAAGAAACATGGTTGTGTGTGGCGCTGATGGAGGAAGCGGCAAAGGGAACTAATGAGCAGTCTGAAGACAGAGGGAGAGATGTTCCTTTAGAGGCTGCAACCCTGCGTGCCCATTTAAAAAGCAAAAACAAAACCCAGCAGTCCCCTGGTATAATTTCAGTGACCAGTGACCTCTTGGTAAATATATCTCTTTGATATATTTTCCAGCTTGCAATCTAGAGATCAGAGTAGCAAAACAAGACAAGCAGAGGCTAACATATTTGTGTGAGCAAATACTCATTACTTTACTGTCACCTAATTTCTTGTGGAAGCAAACCAAGATTTTCATCCATGGAACTCACTTAAATTGAGAGATCCTTACAGAGTTCTGGACGGAAGCAGAGATCTGCAGTCCCATCTCATCTGTCCCCAACACCAGACTTCCAAGAGGTATCAGGAAGGGGTGAGCTCTTTTTTTCATGGACAAAACCTTTTATGTGCATGTTTCTGTTTAGTCCTCATCACAATCAAGTGAAAAGATGGGCACTACTTATTACTCATTTCTTGTAGATGGTAAAACTAAGGCTCAGGGAGGTTAAATACTGGGTCCAAGTTGATACAGTATTCAAGTCACCATGCTATAGTGATATCTCACTTTTACCTGTAAGATGAAGGTGTTAGGCTAAATAACTTCTGAATTCCTTCCAACTCAAATTTTATAAAGGATCTGCAACTCTAAATTTAAATTCTAAATTAATTTAAAGTTCTAACTTAAAATTTAATTCTAAAATTAAACTAGCATAAGTAGGATAGAGTGGCTGGGGGTGGGGATCGATGTAGAAAGATCAGTCACAAAATGATTATTAATGATCTAGGTCTGGGGACATGAAGACCAAGAGACAGGGCCAGCGCAAGGAGAAGGTACACCAATAAAAAGTGATGCGTCTATTCTTGTTCCCATTTATCCAACAAGCTAAATGACTCCAGCAAGCATTAGCATCTGCCATAGCACTTGCTTAGATCAGGCAGGAGTCAATAGTTTGCCAAAAGTTCAATGATACATTCTGAATGTGGTGTATCATTTACAGTCACTTTCTCTCTCATGCCCCTTTCTCCAACACCCATAATTTTTTTCCCTTCCTTTTCTCTGGGATTTCTTGCTATTTGACAGCAAAGCAAATGAGCTATGCCCAGTGAAGAATGAACACACGACTCTGGTTACCTGGCTTTGCTCGCTGCCTCTGTTTAATCGCGTGTGACTTCCTGAGTAATTGGAGAAGACGCTGGGTGTGAAGTGAGGAATGTGCAGCTACTGCAGCTCTCTTGATGACCTCCATCGGCTTTGGAGAAGTTTGGATTCAGAGATACCACGGTAAGAGAGAACAGTAATGATGTTGAAGGACAAGGGGAGAGTGAGCCACAGGAAAATGGGCAGGTGGGGCTCCCCTTGAATCTCTAGGTCTGGCAACAATGGCAGTGGAAAATGTGAATGCCGGGACAGAACTGCTGATGCTGTGGCTTCCTTCTCAGCTCTGTCACCAACTCCTTTGACCTTGGCAAACTTCTTCTCCTGGACTCATTGCTTCTCCATCTATAAAGAGAAGATGGTGGAGGGTTACTGGGGTGCAGAGGCTTAATTATTGTTTGCAGAGGATTTGGATATTCTTGGATGAATGGTGCAATCAAAATGCTGTGGAAAATATTATCATTTTGCATGTCAGTTAGCAAGGTGACTTAAACCTGTCACTGCATATTGGGTGAGTCTTAATCAAGGAAGAGTTGCAGATATAGAAAAGAAGAAATATGAGGTTAGAGAATGGCCATTCCATGGAGATAACAGGTTTGCAGCCCAATTGATCATACTTCAAGTTTCTTATTATTGATAGTGTTAGCTGCTGTGGCAGAATAAAGATGGCCACAAATTCTTTGATTCTCTTCCTATCAAGAACTGAGGTCTTTTCCTCTTCCCTTGAATCTGAGCTTGCCTGTGATTACTTCAACCTGTGGAGTATAGGCAAGCCTAGCCTTGAAAAGGACTGGAAGCTTTACTTTGGTGTCTGGGAGCCCTGCACCACCATGTAAAAAGTCCAACTACCTTTCTAGGGAGTCCAGATATATGCATCCTATGACTATATGGAGAATAGCCACCAAGTGACAGGCACTGGTAAAGCCTTCTTAGGCCTTCTTGAGCCACTAAATGAGTCCCACTACCAGCTGAATATCCCTGAGTAACCCAGTTGATGTCACATAGAGAATAAGAATCTCAGCCAAGCCCTGATTGAATTCCTGAGCCACAAAATCATGAGCTGTAATAAAATAGGGGTAGTTTATTTCACAAGAATGAATAACTAGAAGAGTTACCTTTTATTGCTTATCCAGTGTTATACTAGCCACTATACCTCATTTAATGTTTACATGAATCCCCAAAGTTAGATATAATTCTTTCAGATTTACAAATGAGAAAAATTAGTTCTGAGTTGGAGCAAGCTACACAGAATGAGCTTGGATTTGAATTCACGTCTGTCTGAGGCTGGAGCTCATTCGGAAGGGGTTTCCAGGACAGCCTCACCCCCACTGGTCCCTCTTTCCTAAGGGCTTGCCCTGGAGCATAATGTATGAACTTTAATGCTTTGTTCTTTTGGGCTAAATATTGTCCAAATTCCATTCTTATGCAAGCACAGGAGGGCATGCTATCATTTAGTGGTCAAAGATAAGAATTAGCTCTCAGCTCTTCACTTTTCGATTATTTAAGATGTGATCATGAGATATTCTGTATCCCAGACTCTCTGCTTTATCTCACTTAATCTTCACCATAACCTATGTCAGAGATGCTACACATAGATGCCTTTATTTTACAAATTAGGCCCAAGAACACCCAGCTGGCTCATACCAGACCGAGATTGAACCCAAAGGCTCTATTCTGATGGATTCTCAGGATAGGTGTATTCATGAGTTCCCTGCATAATCAGCTATATTCAGACCCTGTTGGTCTATGCCAGCTCATAGTGAGAAGCTGATTCCATATATCTTGGACAAATCACTGCTCATGATGCACAGGTCAGTCATTTGCTTCCCCTGTGGCTAAACCAGCAACACCCTGAGAAGCAATTTGCTGGAGGATCCAAGACTCTGCTCCTGGCCCTCTCTAGCCAATTCCAAAATTAGTCACCATGGAAATGAGGTGATTGGTGCCTAGTGACCCTTACTCACTGGGAAAAATGAATCTGAGCCCATATAACTTACTCTTGGTAGGTGGGTTATGCTATTATCAAATGATCTAAGAGCTACCTTTAGCTCTGACATTGAGACATTTAATCATGACATTAAGAAATGATTTACCTAGCCTCTTAATTCCAGATAAGTGAACTACTATTATTATTCTCTTACAATATTTCACAGACCTCATCAACCACCAGCCTCCACCTTGTTTACTACTTTTTAATACATTGGCCTTTCTCTTTCTCAAACATCCAAAGCTTGGTCCTTGCTTACAGCCCTTGCACTTGCTGTTCCTTGTGCCTAGAATACTCTTCCCTTGGATCTTCTTTTTTTTTTTTTTCTGAGATGGAGTCTCACTCTGTCGCCCAGGCTGGAGTGCATTGGCACAATCTCGGCTCACTGCAACCCTCACCTCCCAGGTTCAAGTGATTCTCCTGCCTCAGCCTCTCCAGTAGCTGGGATTACAGGTGCATACCACCATGCCTAGCTAATTTTTGTATTTTCAGTACAGATGGGGTTTCACTATGTTGGTCACACTGGTTTCAAGCTCCTGACTTCAAGTGATCCACCTGCCTTGGCCTCCCAAAGTGCTGGAATTACAGGCGTGAGCCACCACACCCAGCCCATCGGATCTTCTCAGGTTTGCCTCCTGTTATTTGGCTGTCACTTGTGGAGTTCGTATTATGTGTCAGGGACTATTCTAAGCTCTTTACATATATTAAATCATTTAATTCTCAAAATGAGGAAACTGATGCACAGGGAGGTTAAGTCACTTGCCCAAAGTCACACAGCTGCTAAGTGATAAAGCCAGTATTTGGACCCAGACAGTTAACTGTGGAGCTCATGATCTTAACCACACTGCTTCTTCTCCCTGACACTCAGACCTCTGCTCAGTCACATTACACTGTTTTATATTCTCCACAGCACTAAGGATGATCTGAATTTGCCATGTTTGTTTGTGTGTTTGTTGCTCATCAGTTGTCTGTGCCCCCTGCCCCAGGCACGTGAGCTCCATAAGTGCAGGTACCTTGATTTGTCCTGTTTACCATTTCTAATACATTTGTTAAGTAAATGAGTAGATAGAGAGTCACAAAATTAAGTAATGTTTGGGTGAAAAAGTGACTGGGCAGAATGATTGCCCCCAGCGTAATCTAATCCCTACTTTATTTCCCTTTCCTCTTTATAATTTTTTTCTCTTTTGCTCTTTATTGAAAAAAATGGTACATTTAAGCAGGGAGAGCATAAATCTTAATGAGTCTGTTACTGTCTGCCAATTGCTGGTGATGAGACCTTGGGCAGATAATTTAGCCATTCATAGTCTGTTTTCTTCCCTAGAAAATAGAGGGGGGAGTGGGAAACTCCCACTTTTTTTCATTGAGCTGGTGAAATAGCAATAATAGTAGCAGCTGTAGATAAAGTAAATTGGTCCCACCTGTGTGCCAGACCTGTGCTAAGATTATTACATGGATTATCTCATTTAGTACTCCACAGAACCTTATGTGGTAGATACAATTATCAGACGAATTTTATAGGGGAGGAAACAGAGGCACAAAGAGGTTTGATATCTTGTCCAAGTAAGAATCATATTTTGAACCCATACAAATTCCCAAAACTAGCCTCTTAGCCGCTGTGAATAAGTATGTGAAGTGCTATGAAAAAATCACTGATTATTATTGTTATAAAGTATTGCATAATGTAGAATTTGTGATTCCTTCTTGGGGCTTAAATCTATAGCCAAAAGCAGCACTGTGTTTGGCCTGTTCTGGGTTGAAGTTAGCAACCTGTAACAGATGTGCTTTCCCCTGGCAGGGGGCTGACAGGATGATAGAATATTGCTCCCAAGTTGGCAGAGTGGGCAGAGACAAAGCAGAAGGAGAGGGGAAAAATGAAGGTTAAACCCTCCAAAGGTTTCATAGAGCAAACACCTTCCTTTCCCAGCAAATATCGACTGGCATTTAAGAAACAATATGTAACTGCAACTTCCATACAATAAATCAGCTTACAGCTGATGCTGTATGTTTCACATCTTTTTAAAAACTATATATGTGGATGGAATACACATTGTTATACTTTAGCACATAAAAATTGAGATTGATATTAAAATGCCTATTTCCTATTGTGTGTACCAATAGGAGATATTAGAATCATTTTTACTGATTACAGTAATACATGTTGCTATTGAAATGAACAGCCTCACTTAAAAAAATCATGAGTATTATTAGCTTCTTTGCATGACAGTAGTTCCTCATACATTTTTAATGTTTTAATCTGGAAAACTCATTGACATTTCATGTTGGAAATCCATAGAGCACTGTGTTGCAGTGTGGCCTCTTAGGGACTAGAATATGTCAAGATGGTAGGCCAAGAGGATCAGAGGTAGTGGAAGAAGCATGGATTCAGCTCTAGCGAGGGTGAATCAAATATTTCAGAGCTCAATTTTTTATTTATAAATATGGAGGTAAGAAAAACTAACATTTGCATGGTGTGTTATAGTTTATACAGGGTTTTGCATGCCTTTTTCATTTGACCTTGGAGTTTATTATCACCATTACAAATGTACAAATTGACATGCAGGAAAGAGTGCTGCATGCATAAGTTTATATCATTAGGCCATGGAAGATTTGGGATTTAAACTGATATTTTCTGACTATAGAAATTTTGCTTGTACTATAATACTCAGGGCTCTTGATATTTTGTCCCATTCCATAACAGGAAACAAAAACAAAATATTTGGCCTATGAATTCAGTGATATTGCTAGTGGTTTTAATGTCAGCTCAGTTGACAAAATTAGTATCACTTATCTTTCCAGAATAGTAGGTAACATCCATGGTATTTATTCATTCATTCATCTATACATTCCATCAATATTCATTTAACATCTCTACTATGTAACAAATGTTTTGTTAAACATTAGAGTTACAAAGTCATGGTAATCAAAACATTATGGTACTGACATAAAGACAGACATATAAACCAGTAGTACAGAACAGAGAGCCCAGATCCACACATATCAGTCAACTGATTTTCAATAAGGGTATAAAGCATGCACAATGGAGAAAGGATAGTCTCTTCAACAAATGGTATTGGGAAAACTGGATATCCACACACAGCGGAATGAAATTTGACCGTCATCTTCTACCATACATAAAAATCAACTTGAAATATAGTAAAGACCTAAATATAAGACCTAAAACGGTAAAACCCCTAAAAGAAAACATAGAGGAAAGCTCCATGGCATCGGTCTTGGCAATGATTTATTGGATATGACACCAAAACACAGGCAACAAAAACAAAAATATTCAAGTGGGACTACATCAAGCTAAAAAGCTTCTGCACAACAAAGAAAATATCAACAGAGTGAAAAGCAATTTGTGGAATGGGAGATAATACTTGCAAGCTGTATATCTTAAAAGGAGTTCATCTCTAAAATGTGTAAGGAACTCCTACAACTTAATAGAAAAAAAAAGCAATTTTTAAAATGAGCTAATAGTTTAAATAGGCATTTCTCCAAAGAAGAAATACAAATGGCCAACAAGTATATGAAAAAATGCTCAATGTCACTATTAAGTTGGTGCAAAATTATTTGCAATTTTTGTCATTGAAAGTAGTGGTAAAAATCACAATAACTTTTGCACCAACCTAATAATTATCTGGGAAATGCAAATCAAAACCACAATGAGATATTACCTCACACCTGTCAGAATAGGTATTATCAAAAAACAAAAGACAACAAGTGTTCATGGGGATGTAGGGAAATCGAACCTCTTGCACACTGCTGTTGGGAATGCAACATGGTGCAGCCACAATGAAAAACAATATGGAGGTTCCTCAAAAAATTAAAAACAGTAGTACCATATAATCAAACAATCCCACTTCTGAATGTTTACCCAAAAAAGTGGACATCAGGATCTAGAAGAGATATTAGCACTCCTGTGTTTATTGTGGTAGTATTTACAGGGAATAACCTAAATGTATGTTGACAGATTAATGGACCCAAAACCATGATATGTGCATACAGTGGAATATTTTTAAAGGAAATTTTGTAGTATATAACAATATGGATGAACCTTAAAGACATTATGTTAAGTGAAATAAGCTAATCACAGAAAGACAGATTTCATAGAATCAAAGAGGGGGATAGTGATTACCAGGTGCTGGGAAAGGGGAAAACGGGCAGTTATCAATGGATGGGCATAAAATTTTAAGGGAGCAGAATGCATAAGTTCTAGAGATCTGCTGTACAACATTGAGTCTATAGTCAACAATAATGTATTGTATATTTAAAAATTTGTTAAGAAGGTAAATCTCACATTAAGTGTTCTTAATATAAAAACAAAATAAAATACTTTACTATATTATATACGAAAAGATTAATAAAGCTTGGATAATCTTGAAAATGAAGATAAAGTGATACTTTCCAATGTAAATTGATAACTGCTTTTATTGGAGATCAATTTGAAAGTGTCTGATATGGTTTGGCTCTGTGTCCTCACCCAAATCTCATCTTGAATTGTACTCCCATAATTTCCACGTGTTGTGGGAGGGACCTAGTGGGAGATAATTGAATCATGGGGGTGGTTTCCCCCATGCTGTTCTCGTGCTAGTGAATGAGTCTCGAGAGCTCATGGTTTTATATGGGGTTTGCACTTCCGATTCTCGCTCTTGCTGCCACCATGTAAGAAAAACTTTCACCTTCCACCATGATTGTGAAACCTGCCTAGCCACGTGGAACTGTAAGTCCATTAAACCTCTTTCTTTTGTAAATCACTCAGTATTGGGTATGTCTTTATCAGCAGCATAAAAATGGACTAATACAGTGCCTCGGCATTTTGAGTGCACAAATTCTTAAAACCAGAAATTTCACATCTTGCTATTTATTACAGAAGACATCGGCATGTATGCATAGAGTCATGTAAAAAGGTATACCTTGAAGCATTGTTTATTACTGCAAGAATCAACTTAAATGTCCTTAAGTAATCTCTTTTAAAATAAGTATATAAGTGAAGAAATATTTTGCAGGAAACAAAAGAATGAGAAATATCTGTATGCAGTGACATATTAAGAGTTCAAAACTTATTTCTATGTAGAAAAAGAAAAATATTTACAGTAGATGTAATTAATGTTTGAAAATAACTAGCAAAATAATAATATCTGTCAGATAGGCTATCTATCTGTAGAGATACACACACACACACACACATACACACACGTACACATACACAGAGATTAAAAAATAGTCTAGTAGGTTATACTCAACACAAATGATTGTCTCCTTGTTGGGGGAAGGAAAGATTGGAGGGTAAAGGAACTTTCTGCTTCTTCTGTACTTTTTGAATTGTTTACTCATAGAACTAAAATTAAAATAAGATGATTTCATCTCACATGTTAAGATGAAGAAATTTCTCAGAGGTCACTGAGGAATCTAGACTGTAATACATAGCATTATTTCATAGTCTTAAAGTTTTACTCTAGATGGCAAATAACCTCCTGTCTTTGTTTTGTCACACTGAAATGTCTGAAATTAAATGGAAGACACTAATAACATACAAGTTTTCTTCTGGTGAAATTTTTTTTATTTTTAAAAATGAACACATAATAATTGTAGACATTTATGATGTACATAGTGAGTTTCAATGTATAGCACATTAGTGATCAAATCGGGGTAATTATCCATTACATCAAACATGTATCATTTGTGTTGGAAACATAATTTCTTCTCTTCCAAGTATTTGAAAATAATTGTTGACTGTATTCACTCTACAATGTTATAAAACACTAAAGTTTGTTCCTCCTATTTAGCTGTAATTTTGTATCCTTTAACCAATCACTTTTGATCCACCCTTTCCCCTACCCTTCCTATTTTCTAGTAACCACTATTCTACTCTCTACTTCTATTCTTCTAGGTTGGTGCAAAAAAAAAAAATTGAGGTTTCAGACATGAATTTTAGATCACTATAAGTAGGTTCAAACACATCTTTGCTAATCAAAATAGGCACAACTACCATTAAGATTTTTGCCAATGAGAAATGATTTTGTTTATTCCTGTAGTGTAAAAATTAGTGCTTCAGGATTTGATGAACTCTTGGAAAATATTTTCTGCATCCTGCTGGTTGTGGAAGCATTTTCCCTGCAAAATGTTGTCAAGATCCTTCAAGAAGTGGTAGTTGATTGGCCAGAGGTCAGGTGATTATGGTGGATGAGGCAAAACTTTGTAGCTCAATTCGTTCAACTTTGGAAGCATTGGTTGTGCAATGTGCAGTTGGGTGCTGTTGTGGAGAAGAATTGGGCCCTTTCTGTTGACCAATGCTGGCTACAGGTGTTGCAGTTTTCAGTGCATCTCATCGATTTGTTGAGCATGCTTTTCAGATGTAGTGGTGCCACTGGGATTCAGAAAGCTTAGGTGGATCAGACCGGCAGCAGACCACCAAATTGTGACCATGACCTTTTTTTGGTGCAAGTTTGGCTTTGGGAAGCACTTTGGAGCTCCTTGGTTCAACCACTGAGCTGGTCATTGCCAGTGGTCACATAAAATCCACTTTTTGTCACATGTCACAATTTGATTGAGAAATGGTTCATTGTTGCTCTGTAGAATAAGAGAAGATGACACTTCAAAATGATGATTTTAAAAATTTTTGGTCAACTCATGAGGCACCCACTTATCGAGCTTTTTCACCTTTCCAATTTGCTTCAAATGCTGAGTGACCATAGAATGTTCGACGTCGAGTTTTTTGGCAACTTCTCGTGTAGTTGTAAGAGGGTCAGCTTCAATGATTCCTCTCAACTGGTCAATGTCAACTTTCTATGGCCAGCCACTGTGCTCCTCACCTTCAAAGCTCTGGTCTCCTTTGCAAAAGTTCTCGAACCACCACTGCAATGTACGTTCATTAGCTCCTGGGCCAAATGTGTTGTTCATGTTGCTAGTTGTCTCCGCTGTTTACAACCCATTTTGAACTTCAATCAGAAAATTGCTCAAATTTGCTTTTTATCTAACATAATTTCCATAATCTAAAATAAATATAAAATAAATAGCAAGTAATAAGTCATTAGCAAAAAAAAATAAAGTGAGAAATGCACATTAAAATGATATATAACACACATTTGATAAATAAACCACATTTATTTTAGAATGTATTCTAATATCAAGCAGCAAATTTCAACAGTGCAAAACTGCAATTACTTTTGCACCAACGTACATATGAGATCAACTTTTTCAGCTTCTGCATATGAGTAAGAACATGCAGTACTTATATTTCTGTTCCTGACTGATTTCACTTAACACAATGTCCTCCAGGCTTATCCATGTTGTCACAAATGACAGGATTTAATTCTTTCTTATGGCTGAGTAATGTTCCCTTGTGTATATATACCACATTTAATTTGTCCATTCGTCCATTGATTGACACTTAGCCTGATTTCTTATCTTGGTGATTATGACTAGTGCTACAATAAATATGCAAGTGCAGATATTTCTTTGATATATTATTTCCTTTGGGTATATACCCAGTAGTTAGATTACTAAATCATATGGTAGTTCTATTTGTAGGTTTTTTTACTGATACATAATATCTGTACATATTATGGTACATGTGATATTTTGTTTTATGCATAAAATGTGTAATGATCAAGTTAGGGTATTTAGGGCATGCATTACCTTGGGTATTTATCAGTTCTATATGTTAGGAGCATTTCAAGTCCTCTCTTCTAGTTATTTTGAAATATACAGTACAGTATTATTAACTATAGCTACCATATTCTGCTCTCAAACATTAAAACTCATTTTTCTTCTATCTAACTGTATGCTTGTACCCATTAAATAACCTCTCTTTATCTCCCCCACCCACCCACAAACACTTCCCAGCCTTTAGTATCTCTAATGCTCTCTCTACCTTCATGAGATCAACTTTTTTAGATCCCACAAATAAATGAGAACATGCAATGTTTTTCTGTTCTGCCTGGCTTGTTTCACTTAACATGATTTCTAGTTCAATCTATGTTGCTGCCACTGACATGATTTCATTCTTTTTTATGTCTAAATTGTATTTCATTGTGTGTATTTGACATTTCTCCACTGATGAACACTTAGGTTGATTCAATATCTTTGCTATTGTGAATAGTGCTGCAATAAACATGAGTATATCCTTTTGATATACTGATTTCCTCTCCTTTGAAAAATAATCAGTAGCTGGATTGCTTGATCATATGGCAGTTCAATTGTTTTTGCATCATGTCTATACTGTTTTTCATAATTGCTGTACTAATTTACACTCCCATTAACAGTGTGTAAGAGTTCTGTTTCCTCTGTATCCTTGTCAGCATCTGGTTTGGGTTTTATTTGTATTTTTATTAGTAGCTATTCTAATTGTGGTAAAATATCTCATTGTGGTTTTGATTTGCATTTACCTAATGATTAATTATGTTGAGCATTTTTTATATATGTTTTGGCTATTTGTAAGTCTTCTTTTGAGATATGGCAATTTTTAATGTGATTATTTGTTTTCTTACTGTTCAGTTTGAATTCCTTATATATTCTAGATATTAGTCCCTTGTGAGTAATTTTTTATATCTTCTGTCTTTCAACAGCTTGTCTCTTCACTCTGTTGATTGTTTCCTTTGCTGTGCAGAATCTTTTAAATTTAAATAATTCAATTTGTCTATTTTTGCTTTTGTTGCCTGTACTTTTAAGGTCTTACCCATAAAATCTTTGCCTAGGCCAATGTCCTGAAGGGTTTCCCCTAGGTTTTCTTCTAGTAGTTTTATAGTTTCAGGTCTTATGTTTAAGTCTTTAGTCCATCTTGAGACGATTTTTGTATGTGATGAGAGATAGGGCTCCAGTTTCATTCTTCTGCATATGGATATCCAATTTTCTCAGCACCATTTATTGAAGAGGGTGTCCTTTCCCCAATGTATGCTCTTAGCATTTTTGTCAAAAATCAGTCAGCTGGAAATATGTGGATTTATTTCTGAGTTCTCTATTTTGTTCCATTGGCTTATGTGGTCTGTTTTGTACCTATATCGTGCTGTTTTGTTCACTATAGCTTTGTAATATATTTTGAAATCTAGTAGTGTTATGTCTTTAATTTTTTTCTTTTTGCTCAGGATTACTTTGGCTATTTGGGCTCTTTTTTAATTTAAAAGGAATTTTAGGGTTGTTTTTCCTATTTCTGTGAGAAATAACTTTGGTATTTTGATAGGGATTGAAGTAAATGTTTAGATTGCTTTGTATAGTATGGTCATTTTCAATTTGTTTCATCAGTGTTTTGTAGTTTTCCTTGTACAGGTTTTTCACCTCCATGGTTACATTTATTCCTACATATTTTATTTTTTGTAGCTATTGTAAATGGGATTGCCTTCTTGACTTCTGCATCAGCTAGTTCATTGTTGATATATAGAAATGCTACTGACATTTGTATGTTTTGTATCCTGCAACTTTACTAAATTTATTTAACAGATCTAAGAGTTTTTGGTGGCATCTTTAGATTTTTTTAAATATAAGATCATGTGATCTTCAAAGAGGGAGAGTTTTACTTCCTCTTTTCTAATTTGGATTAGAAAATCCAAACTCTTACCTGATTGCTCCAGGTGGAACTTTCAGTACTGTGTTGAATAGGAGTGTTGAAAGTAAACATCCTTTTCTTGTTCCTGTTCTTAGAGTGAAGGCTTTCAGCTTTCCCTCATTCAGTATGATGTTAGTTGTGGGTTTGTCTCATATGGCCTTTAATATGTTGAGGTATGTTCCTTTTGTTGAGAGTTTTTATTATGAAGGAATATTGAATTTTATCAAATGCTTTTCTGTGTTCATTGAGATGATTTTTGTCCTTCATTCTGTTGATGTGATGCATCAACAGAATGCATATGTTGAAACATTCTTAAATTCACAGGATAAATCCCACTTGATCATAGTGATACAGAACAGCTGGGCTCCCAGCTAAACCCAACCCTTAAGCCTGGACCCTTAGCCCTAAGTGAAAACAGCTGACTTTGTTTTTCTGCCCAAATAATTGCCTTTTTTGGTCTGCCACACCCCTATCCAGTGCCTATAAAAAGACTTCAGCTGAAAGAACAACACAAGTGGCTTATGCAAGTGGTCAAGGATGCAAGCTGCTGAACATTGGCGATACGTGCGGCTGAGTGTTGTAGACTATGGATAGATATGGCTAACTTCAGATGGTGCAGCTTCAGGGAAAGATCACCTTCCTCCCATACCATTCCTTTTCCAATTCCCCATCCAACTGAGCCACTTTTATCGCCCAATAAAATATACTACTCTTCAAATAGTTCATGTGACCTGATTCTTCTTGGACACTGAAGAACTTGGTTGTCAAAAAGGGCAGGTGGAGGAGGCTGTCACCCTGACCCATCACTGGGCTGTTAGTTGTCCATGGACTGCAGGCTGAGTTCCTGCCCACAAAGGGGGTTGGGGGTCTAGGGAAACATCCTGTCTCATTTCGGGGCTCATCCAGGATATGAAAAGTGGTGAGTTAAAATGTGGAACTCTTGGATCTGTCTCTTTTCCAAGACCCTGTCACCATGCTCTTTCCTTTGGGTAAAAGGAATGCTGGCTCTGTTTCCCTTCAGGGAGGTCTAGCTAGACTGAACTAGGGGAGGATACAATGATTGAAGGAACCCATTTTCACAGAGCAAGAGTCTCTTCCCTCAGGCTCCCCAACTTATGCACTTTAAGTTGAGTTGTTTTTCTTCTTTTCTAAGTGAGAGAGTTCTCTATCTCAGCACTCTGCTTACGATAGGGAAAGAGAGTTCTCTTTCTACCTCAGCACTCTGCTTATGTTAGGGAAACAACAGAGGAGGAACCCCTGCTGACTGTTAACTGCAAGTTTGGCAAAGCCCGCATGGGATTTAATCTAAATGAATCTATGTACCTCGTGAAATAATTTTTATGTCTCAAACTTGATTCCAAGCTTCAGGTTGAGGCCCTAGAAAGGAAAACCAGATCTGAGGGATCCAAAGCCACAAAACAAGCACAGTGTAAACAGGCAGGACCAATTCCTGCTAATTAAACTCCTGCTTCATGGAAGGAGGCCATACTTTATGGCATAAGTGAGGTCCAGGAAACTCAGAAGTTGTTGACAGTAGGGGAGGTACAGGCACTGGTGAGTGTGAATAATTCCTATTTTCTAGGCCTTTCCTGCTTAATGAGTGCATGTCACATTGGCACCCATGGGTGGCACATGCCAACACTGCCAGGACTCTGGGATAAGGACACAAAAGGGGGAATGCCCATTTTCTTTCTCCCTCACACCCCAAGTTTTCACTGAAAGAAGGAAGGGAATGAAGGACATTGAATTCCCTGTCTTTCAGAATGGGCAACCAAGAAACTTTACCACCTCCAGTTTATACTTAGAAATGGACCCTGGGACCAGATGGTACTTTAGAGGACCTCCTGAAAGTGGCCACCTCAGTCTTTTAGACGTGAGAAAGAGGAAGAAGCTTTAATGGCCACCATGCAAGCCCACAAACCCCAGAATTCTCTAGAAAGGAACCTCCTGAAAGTGGCCACCTCAGTCTTTCAGACGTAAGAAAGAGGCAGAAGCTTTAATGGCCACAATGCAAGCCTACAAACCCCGGAATTCCTAAGGTTCACCTGTTAACTGCTTCAGATGTTGCAAGAACAGTTATCTTTCTCATAAATTTGAACCACTTCCATACAAGGTTTAATTTCTTTTACCAGGGTGAAACAGCTTAGGATAAAATGTTGTTAGTATATTTTACATCTTATTTCTGTAACCCTTGGCACTAGATTCTTTCCTTCTATAATACATATGTTTGATCCATGCATAGTTAACCTTGTAAAGTTTGTTTTTTCTCTCACCTAGATGTCATTAAGGCTCCAAATGGGCAGGAAGCCGGAGCCTCGGACAATGGCTCCCTTTTGCCAGTGATCCTTAGGTAGACGTCTGGGAGGAATCTGACTGCGGTTTTCCCCAAACAATGCCCCCTTTCAGCAGGAAGTAGCTAAGACTGGTCATCATCCATATTCTAAAGGCAGTTAGATATGCCTCTTCAGAGGGTGAAAATGATACAGAATGGCTCTGGGCTCCCAGCTAAACCCGACCCTCAAGCCTGGAACCTCAGCCCTAAGTAAAAACAGCTGACCCTGAAGGGCTGGCCTTCCAACTAAGCTCCACCCTTAAGCTTGGAACCTTGGCCCTAAGTGAAAACAGCTGACTTTGCTTTTCCACCAAAATGATTGCCTTTTTGGCCTGCCACACCCCTATCCAGTGCCCATAAAAAGACTTCAGCTGAAAGAGCAACACAAGCAGCTGATGCAAGTAGTTGGGGGATGCAAGCTTCTGAACATCAGGGATACCTGCAGCTGGTCATCAGAGACTATGGATAGACATGGCTAACTTCAGACAGTTCAGCTTCAGGGAGAGATTACCTTCTTCCTGCACTATTCCCTTTGCAATTCCCCATCCAACTGAGAGCCAGTGTTATCACCCAATAAAATCCTCTGCATACACCAACCTTCAAATAGTTCATGTGACCTGATTCTACCTGGACACCGAACAAGAACTCAGGTACAAAAAAGGGCAGGTGCAGGAGGCTGTCACCCTGACCCTTCCCTGAGTTGTTAACACTTAGCTGTCCACAGACTGCAGGCTTGGTGAAACGAGGCACTCCAGTTTCTGCCTACTAAGGGGGTCAAGGGAAATATTCCATCTCAATAGTATATTATCTTTTTCATGTGCTATTGGATTTAATTTGCTAGTATTTTTTGAGGATTTTTGTGTTTATGTTCATCAGGGATACTGATGAACATAGTTTTCTTTCTTTGTTGTGTCTTTGCCTGGTTTTGGTATCAAGATAATGCTGACCTCCTAGAATGAGTTAGGAAGAAGACCCTTCTTTTCATTTTTTTGAATTAGTTTGAGGAGAATTGGTGTTAGTTCTTTTTTGTAAGTTTTGTAGAATTTGGCAGTGAAGCTATCTGGTCCTGGGCTTTTCTTTTGTGGGAGACTATTGCTTATTCAATCTCAGTAATTCTTATCAGTTTGTTAAGTGTTTCTATTTCTTCTTGGTCAATTGCAGTAGATTTATCCAGGAATTTGTTCATTTCTTCTAGGTTTTCCAATTTATTGGCATATGGTTGCTTTTAATAATCTATAATGATTATTTGTATTTCTGAGGTATCTGTTATGATGTTTCCTTTTTTGTTTCTGATTTTATTTATTTGGATATTCTCTCTTTTTTCTTAGTAAAGCTGATGAGTTGATTTTTGTTTATCTAAACACACTTTCATTTCATTTTTAAAAATATTTTGTTTCAATTTTATTTCTACCCTAATTTTTATTTCTTTTCTTCTACTAATTTTGGGTTTGTTCTGTTTTTGCTTTTCTTGTTCCTTGAAGTGAATCCATAGGTTCTTTACTTGAAATCCCTTTACTTTTTATTGTAAGGCTTTATTGCCATAAAGCTGGCTCTTAATACTGATTTTGCTGTATGCCATGGGTTTTGGTATGTTGTGTTTTTATTATTTGTTTCAAAGAATTTAAAATTTTTTCTTTATTCATTGGTCGTTGAGGAGTATGTTGTTTAATTTTCATGTATTTGTGCAGTTATAAATGTTTCTCTTGTTACTAGTTTTATTCCATGGTGGTTGGAAAATATATTTGATATGATTTAGATTTTTAAAAATCATTTAAGACTTGTTTTCTGCCTTCACATATGGTCAATCCTGGTGAATGTTTCATCTGCCAGTGAGAAGAATGTGTATTCTGTAGCTGTTGTGTGAAATGAACTGGAAATGTCTCACATCTGTTTGGTTCATGGTGTAGTTATATTAAATGTTTTTGTTGATTTTCTCTATAGATGATCTCTCCAATGCTGAGAGTTGGATGTTGGACTCCTCAACTATTATTGGAGTCTAACTCTTCCTTTAGATGTAATAATATTTGCTTTCTATATCTGGGT
Source organism: Homo sapiens (assembly GCF_000001405.40). Classification (NCBI taxonomy): domain Eukaryota; kingdom Metazoa; phylum Chordata; class Mammalia; order Primates; family Hominidae; genus Homo; species Homo sapiens. The sequence goes on from NC_000005.10 coordinate 155,681,472, forward strand.
GTTTCATTATTGGGTGCATATATACTTATAGTTGTTATATCTTCTTGCTGAATTTATCATTTCATAAATATATAATATTCTTCTTTGTCTCTTTTAAAGTTTTTTACTTAAAGTCTGTTTTTTCTGATATAAGTATACCAGCTCCTGTTTGCTTATGGTTTCGGTTCACATGGAATATCTTTTTCCTATCTCTTCTCTTTCAGTCAGTGTGTCTTTACAGGTGAAATAAGTTTCTTGTAGGCAGCATATAGTTGCATCTTATTTTTTCATCCATTTGGCCAATCTATATCGTTTAGTTGGGGAATGTAATTTGTTTACATTCAAGGTTATAATTGATAGGTGAGGTGTCTTACTCCTATCATTTTATTGTTTTTTTGGTTGTTTTGTATACCATTTGTTTCTCTCGTCCTGTCTTATTATATTTGTGATTTGGTGTTTTCCTTTATTTGTAGTGATAAAATTCCTTTCTCTTTCCCTTTTATTTATCTGCTGTATCAGTGAATTTTATAATTTTGTATGTTTTCATTATGATATTTGTCTTCACTGTGATCCCAGGTGTAGGACTCCCTAAAGTATTTTTTGTAAAGTCAGTTTAGTAGTGATAAATTCCTAGTTGTTTCTTATCTGGGAAACACCCTATTTCTCCTTTATTTCTAAAGCATAGCTTTGCTGGTGCCGTATTCTTGGCTGCTTGTTTTTTGTTTATTTTAGCACTTTTTGTTTGTTTTCTGAGACACGGTCTGGCTCTATCACTCAGGCTGGAGTGCAGTGGTGTGATCTCAGCTCACTGAAATCTCCACTTCCTGGGCTCAAGCCATTCTCCCACCTCAGCCTTCCAAGCAGCTGGAACTACAGGAGCATGCAATGACACCTGGCTAATTTTCTTTTTCTTTTTTTGTTTTGTTTTTTAGAGACAGAGTTTCACCATGCTACCCAGGCTGATCTCAAATGCCTGAGCTCAAGTGATGTGCCTGCCTCAGCCACCCAAAATACTAGGATTACAGGAATAAGCCACTGCACTTGACCTTGTTTTAGCCCTTTGAATATATCATCCTATTTTCTCTTGGTCTGTAAGTTTTCTGCTGAGAAATCTTCTGGTGGTCTAATATGAATTTCTTCATATGTAGCTTGACACTCTTTTCTTGCTGTTTTTACAATTTTGTTTTTGCTTTTGACTTTTGACAGTTTGACTGTAACATGCCTTGGAGAGGACCTGCTTGGGTTAAATCTATTTGGGAATCTTTGCCTTTTCTAGATCTGGAGGTACCAACATTTAAGAGTTTTCCAGCTGTTATTTCATTAAGTAGGTTTTCTATGACTTTTCCCAACTTTTCTGCTTCTTGAATCCCCATAATGCAAATGTTCATTTGCTAAATAGTGTCCCATAAGTCCTGTAGGCTTTCTTCATTTAAAAAAATTATTCTTCTTCTTTTGTGTGTGTGTACCTGTGTTACTTCAAAAAGCTTATCTTCCAGTTCAAAAATTCTTTCTTCTGCTTGGTCTAATCTGTTTTTGAAGCTGTTGTTTGTTTGTTTGTTTTGAGACAGGGTCTCACTTTGTTACCCAGGCTGCTAACGGTGGTGTGATCTTGGCTCACTGCAGCCTCGACCTCTTAGGCTCAAGTGATCCTGCCACCTCAGCCTCCCAAGTAGCTGGGACTACAGGCATGCACCTGGCTAAGTTTTTTGTATTTTTTATAGAGACTGGGTTTCACTATCTTGCCCAAACTGGTCTCAAACTCCTGACCTCAGGTGATCTGCTCACCTTGGCCTCCCAAAGTGCTGGGATTATAGGTGTGAGCCATCACACCTAGCCTCTTGATTGTATTTTTTATTTAATTCATTCAATTGTTCAGCTCTAATATTTTTATTTGGTTCATTTTTATGATATCTATCTCTTTGTTGATTTTTTCATTCAGATTATTAATTGTTTTTCTGATATTATTGAATTCTGTAACTGTATTCTCTTTTATCTCACTGAGTTTCCTTAAAGCCACTATTTTGATTTTTGGTATTTTATATATGCTCTTTTGGGTCTATTATGGGAAAATTATTGTATTCCTTCAGGGGTGCCATGTTTACTTCCTTTTTCATGTTTATTTTGTCTCAATATTGATATCTGCACATGTGGTGAAAGTTGCCTTTTCCAGTTTTATAAGGTAGGTTTCTTAGGGAAAGACATTTCCACATTTGGGTCCTAAGATGTTGGTTGTATCAGGTTTGTGGCTTTGCTTTTAGATCAATGCAATAATGTGTTCTTCTTGCAGTTTCTTTACTTGTAATTCCTGTTAGAAATGTTTATGAATGCTGATATGGTTTTGCTGTGTCCCCACCCAATCTCATCTTGAATTGTAACTCCCACAATTCCCATGTGTCATGGGAGGGACCCAGTGGGTGGGAGGTGATTGAATTGTGGGGGCAGTCTTTCCTGCACTGTTCTGTTGATAGTCAATGAGTCTCATGAGATCTGATGGTTTTAAAAAGGGGAGTTTTCCTGCACAAACTCTTCTCTTGTCTGCTGCCATGTGAGACGTGCCTTTTACCCTCTGCCATTTTTGTGAGACCTCCCCAGCCATGTGGAACCAAGTCCAATAAACCTCTTTTCTTTGTAAATTGCCCAGTCTCTTGTATGTCTTTATCGGCAGTGTGAAAATGGCTTAATACAAATGCCTTGGAGTTTCAGGCTGCAGAAGTCTGTGGCAGCAGTGGCGCAGGTTTACTAGGGTTGGGCTTACTGGGTGTTTTCTCCAGCTAGGGGAGCATACATGCACATGATACTTCAGCTGGCTTAGGGACTGGCTGATTGGGGCCACCAGGTTGTTATTTCAGCCTGGGGCATAGGCCACTGCTGCTTGACCAGATCAGGGGTGGGTCCCCCATGCTGTCTTTCTGGCTAGGAGCATGGGTGCATGGTGGTTCACCCAGCCTGACGTTGGTCTTCCTGCTTTGCAGGACTGCAGTCACAGTCATTCATGGGCCAAGGCTCTGCATGGCTGGTGTTGTAGCACTGCAGCCATTCATCTGGGCTTGGTGGAATAATGGCAGAGTCCAAGGGCTGAAGAGGCACAGTGACTGCTGGCTCCCAGAGCAGGGTGAACTCCAACAGTTTCTCTGATTTCAAAATAGTACTGTGCTATAGTTATACAATTCATAGCAGTGCATAAATTTAGGCAACTCCCCAAATAGGGCTCAGGGCTCATGAGCACTATGGGATTATCTTGTAGGAAGGACTGCAGGTGTCTGCAGTGGCACTGGGACTGGCAGGGGTTTTCTACTTATTTTTTTTTCCCACAAGAGTATGTCCATCCTGACTCTGGGCTGATCTTATGGGGGGAGATGGGGCAGTATAGGCCAGGCCTCATTCCCATCTGTATGCTGTCAGCCTGGGCTTACCAGAACCACAGGAATCCAGGAATCCTGACACTTTCTTGCTGTATTCTACCACTCTCTTAACACTCAGTTGAATTTTAGTTGTTTATTTGTTGCCTAAGTCCTTTGTTGTGAGGGGGACAAGTGCTAGTTGCCTTTACTCAGACATCTTGCAGACATCTCAGTTACTTTTCTGATTTAAAAAAATTGTTTTCTCATTTTAAATGGTAAACCCTTTCTTGAAACCTTTGCATATAGTTTTAGGGAGCTTGTTGGAGGGCAGGTAAGGTTAGCTGGAATGTAGTAATTATACTGTTCCTGAAGCCATCTTGTGATTTCAGCTGAGTAATATGTGCTTAGCCAACTTCAGTAGCTTTTTAGAAAGATGAGTGACTGAATATTATGGCAATGAAGGTGTGCCACTTAGATCTCCCTTAAAGCAGACGTGGTGTGCGGACTGTAATTGGCTAAGAGGCACCAGCTGTTGTACCTTCAGATCCATTGTGTCATTCACACTGAAACAGTGTTCTCACTGGGGTGTTTCAGGCAATGACTGAGTATAGCAGGGAACTAGAGCCAGGCCACTTACGCCGAACGCAGGACTTCTCTTATGGGCTCTCTTTGTATAGGGACTCCACATTTTCCTCTCCAAGGCTTTGTTAGAATTACGCTGTAGTCAGATGCTCTTTTTACCCAATATTCCTTCCCTCCATCTCTCCTTTCACGGGTGTTGGAACTCCATTACAACCTAAAGGTTCTCCCTTCCCAGTCTTTTTCCCCCTTATCTTTTATAGATGTTTCCTCCAATCTCTTGCATGACCAATTTCATCTTGTTTTCTGGTTCTCAGAGGGCCTGAACTGATACAATATATTAACAAGGTTTAAATCCCTGTGAACAACCAGATGGTAGAGGAGATTTAGACCAATGTCAATCAGAGTTTGGAAGACAGAGATAGATAAATGAGTGGTAATTAACTTACACTGAAGAAAGCTATAACCTCTCTGCCTTGAAGTTTCAGGTGGGAAGCATGTGATTCAAGCTGAATAACTCTGGAAAATCTATGGAATTTGAAGTACAATGTCTCTCTCTCAAGCTGATGATTCAGAATGGGACTAAAATCAGGGATTGATGGAAAGTCTGAAAGAGGAATAACAATAATAGTGCTTAATATCCTTTACTCATCCCAACTGGTAAAGAAAGAGGTTTAACTTCTGGAGAAGTTAAAGCAGAGAGCTTTCTACCCCTAGGAGGTCAGGCACAGCTAAGACAAAACAGGATGGCTGCATAGTTGAGTCTTGAGACTTTCTGCCACTCTCTGACCATTAGGTTCTCAGAATGCTGGCACCAGGCTTATATAATCCAGGCAGGACACTAGAGGAGAACTTGTTCATGAATACTATAAAGTGGTGCTGATGTCAAGAGCTCTCCCAAGGAAATTCAAGGTCCTTGCTTGTTCAACCTATAATGCCCTAGTGTTGCAACAAGTTTCTTATCTGCATTTTAATGCCTATCTCTTAAGAATGACTGAATAACCAAAGTTAACCTGACATAGAATCATAAGAATGTAAGAGAAACCATAAAAAATGTAAGAGAAAACAGACACGTCAGAGATCAAAACAGAACTTAAATAAAAGCAATCATAACTAAATTCTTAGATAAGAGAAGGAATTACATCCATGAAACAAAAATAAAAGAATTTTTAAAACGTGAAAGAAGAAAGCTTTTGGAAATTAAAAATATAATGGAAATTATTTCAGTAGAAAAGTTTGAAGATAAAGCTATGAGATATCCTATAAAACAGAATAAAAAATATTTACACTTTGGGAGGCCGAGGCGGGCAGAACACGAGGTCAAGAGATCGAGACCATCCTGGCCAACATCGTGTAGTCCCATCTTGTAGTCCCAGCTACTTGGGAGGCTGAGGCAGGAAAATTGCTTGAACCTGGGAGGTGGAGGTTGTAGTGAGCTGAGATTGTGCCACCACACTCCAGCCTGGTGACAGAGCGAGACTCCGTCTCAAAAAATAAAATTAAAAATATGAGAAAAGATTTATAAATTGGAAAACTTATATAAGAGGACTAGCACTTGACATCAATTAACTCAGACTGGGAGAGCAAATAAATTGATGGGAGTAAATTAGAAAAGAAATACAGGATGATTTCCCAGAAATGAAGCACACATCACATTTCAAATTAGAGGGTCCCTGAGTGCACACATAAAAGATTGAGATCACCTGGGATAAAGAGAAGATTCTCACAACTTTCAGAGAGAAGTTGAGAATCATTTGAGAATGTGACTGCTCACTGACATAACTGGAAGCTAGGTAATGGGATAATGCTTTTATAATTCTGTGCAAAAATGGTTGACAACCTAGAGTCATATATCCAATGAGACTAAAAGAGAAGGTGTAACCAACAATACTTTTAGTAAAGAAAGTTCTCAAACATTTATCTACAAAGCCTCCTTTGTCAAGAAGCTATTGGAGTGTGATCTCCCAAATGAGAGAGCAAGTTTTTAAAAAGACAGGAAATGAAGCGGGGGGTCCAACATAGGAGTGAGGAATTCCCAGAAGTAAAGTTTCAGGGTAATACTTATGTGGCTAGCTGTGGGTGGAGAGTTTCAGGAGGGATGCCTCTAGGAGGAAAAAAAATGAACTTGATAAATTTCCTGGTGTGTTAGACCCGATTGAGGATCTAAAATTTGGAGCAGTGTTGGAAATACAAACATGGAAAGCTCAGCAAACACATCAAAGGCAGTTATTTGACCAGGCACAGTGGCTCAGGCCTGTAGTCTCAGCACTTTGGGGGGCCAAGGTGGGCAGATCACTTGAGATCAGGAGTTTGAGACCAGCCTGGCCAACATGGTGAAACCCTGTCTCTACAAAAAATACAAAAATTAGAGGTTGCAGTGAGCCAAGATCATGCCAGTGCCCTCCAGCCTAGGTGACAGAGCAAGACTCCATCTCAAAAAATAAAATAAAATAGGCAATTATTCACTTCTGGAAATACACATTTTATATTAGAAAGGAATTATAACCATTAAACATGGTGTGGTGCATCTGTTAAGAAGTAACCAGAGTAATAATGATCTGAGCACTACTATTTATTAATCTAAGAAGTGTTATATATTATTGGAAGGATGAGGGGAGGGGAAATTGGTGTGGGAAGAAAGAGGGGATAAAACAGCTAAATCATCATCTTCCCTAGTTGGAAATCAATAAATAATACCAGAAATGGGAAATAAATCAAGGAATGGCAGTATGAGCATGTTATTTAGAAATATGGAAGGTAAATAACAGAAGAAAGGTTGATGATTTGAAAGTGGCTACCTGCAGGGAGTCAGAATTGGGGGAGGGCCGGGGTGAGGCAGGGGATGACTTTTTTTCCATGTATTACCCATGAATTTTTCTTTATTTTCTAAATTACATAGAATACTACACTGATAAAAATTAAAAATAAATTTTAAATTTAATAGATTAGAAAAAAATTAGGAGAGAAGTATCCCCATCTGCCATAAGGAATTTTTCGAAGTAAAATTTCCCAACTTCCTTATCCCCTTCATTTCTTCTTCTGATGTGCCATGGGAAAGACAGTAAAACAGACACTTTCAAGATCAAAAGTTCGGAATTTAGCTTCTTCCCTTTGTTTCCAAAACCCGTGAAACTTTTTGTTCACTGTTTGATTTCTTTGAACAAAAATCTTTCAGTTTTTGATAAAAATCAGTGATCACAATCAAAAAAATAAAAGTGCTTATCTTACTGAATATCCTATATATGCAAATAACCCTTTGGTAATACATTTTAAAAAAAAGACTCAGTAATTCAATAAAATATGAATGCAGAAGAGAAAAGCATGAGGTCCTTCTGTGAGGAAGACACTGAGCCAAGCACTTTCCATGTAACATCTCATTTAACCCCTACAACAACTCCAGCAAATAGAAATAGTTGTCATGCTTATTTAGTTGTCATGCCCAAGGCTGGTAAATGTCTAGTTTCTCATCCTTACTCTTCAAACTGCCATGTACCCTCCTAGTTCCTGTGAGAGTAGTAGCCACAAGAGGCAAGCTTCCTTGATCTAATTAGATCTATCTAATTGGATCCTCACATCAACTTTGGAATGAACACAGGGGCAGACATTAGTGTCTCCACTTTACAGGTGAGAAAAATGAAGCTTAAATAATAGTGGGATGATTTAATATCCCAGGGGTAGTAAGTGACATTATCGGAAAGAGCCCTAATCTTTTGATTCTGAGCCCAAAGGAAGCTTACCAGTTAGATATTTTTATATGTGTTGTGTTGAGCTTACATACATCTATCTAGATGCTCAGACTGTGATGAGCCTACAGAGGCTGTGTTCCCAGCTCACATTTTTTTCCAGAGCTCAGACCAGGGAGAATCTGTATATAAGTTCTGGACCTAATTTTAAAAAAGAATACACACACACACACACACACACACACACACACACACACACTCACACACACATACACGTACACACTTAAAAACTACACGTATACATATATAAAATATATACATATATGTATAATATATGTATTTTTATACAATAGTGTTCCATTTTCACATAATTAGAAGTCAGAATTTTTCCAATCAGCTTGGGCTCATTTCTGGTCATTTATAGCCCTAAGCACTCAAACGTCACATTTCTAGCAGGAACCTGAGAAAAACAATCATGAGTAGAATCAGAATGCTCTCCAGGTCCATTGTGTATAGCTGGAGAGGAGGGAGCTTTGCAGGGGAGCTTTTAAATTCCTGAGCAAGCCTATAATTAGCTGTAATAGGACCCAGAGTAACTTCACTGCCATAATTCTCAGCAGGAAAACAATTATATTGCAGCTGTATAACAAGACAGACAAGCTGTAAATATAAAACATTCTCTGGAAATACAAGCTCTATATTTCTAAATACATGGAAAATTAAGTCAGATACCTCTGTGTTAATATAGTAATTCAAGGCAGTATCATTCCTTTTCTTTTCCTCAGCACTTTTCCCTTTCCTGCCTTGCTATCAATTTTACATTTTAATGTATAGGCTTAAGAAAGACATATCTTACTTTAAAAGCATATTAAAAGAAATAATAATCAATTTAAAATCTGGTATGTTCTAGAGAGGCAATCTGGACTGAAAAGAACCCTGAGTTGGAGTCTGGGAGACTGGATTATTTCTCTAGTCCTGTCCCTAACTGGGCCAATCATTTTACTCCTGAAGGTATAAAATGGCAGCTTACACACCAAGTCTGAGAAAGAGATGACAGATGTCTTTGTAATAACCTGTGTAGTATTTGTAAAAATAAAAAAAAAATAAAAAATTTAAAAATTAAGGTAACATTTAAAAATCAAGGGATTTCACATGAAAGTATGGATTTCTGGCTTCTAATGAAAGAATCAGATGTGGCCTCACTAGGTCCACAATTCTAATTGCAACAATCAGCAATAGCTGGTAAATACTGCTCCCTTTGGATAAGGTGTATGGTCTCCAGTTTGCCACAGAATTCATCTCTTTCAGTCACTTAGGTTTTCTGCTTTGTGGTCAGTTTCCTCACCTGTAAAACAACAAAGAGCCTCAATTATATATTTTCCGTCCTTTCAGTTTGTGTTCCTATGCTGCTGATAGCCTGTTTTTACCCCTGGGAGAAAGATAATGATAAATCACAGATACCTGCAAAATCTGTAGCCTGTCTCTGTGTGAGAGTTTACACCAAGTTAAATGGATAGTCCCTTACACATAAAGCTGCTTAAGCACTTGGAAATCTCTGGGTTTAGTGGGGTTAAATCAGAGCCTTGACATCATTTTAACAGTTTTATTTTCCTATGACCTCCATGGTTCCTATATAATCCTAAAATCATAGTTATTCCAAAAGAATCATTTCCTCCTGAATTCTGCTCTACAAAGGCTATGCAGCAAAGAGCTCCACAGGCACAAAAGAGGGAAAGAACAAGTTCCTGAGTTCAAATGTACCAGGTTCTATCCCACCTACAAAAGCCTGGGTGCCCTTGGTCCCACCTTGGCCCCACTCATGGCTCTATGCCGAGAAAATGGCCAGTGAAAGATGAAATTAGATTTTATTGAATGAGAGTTACATTGTCAGGGCTCTGAAACTACTACTTTCTACCCTGGCACAACTTGCCTTCAGGGTAAGGACATAGATGCTTTCTCAAACCAACAAAACCATGTAAACATCTTTGCCTGAATTATCAAAGTGGAATTCTTAGTATTCAGGCTGTCTTTTTTAGCGAATTAACTGAAAAAGGGTTAACCTGCTATTACAGGATTTGGATGAAATTCATTATTCCTTAGCTAATGAAAATAATTTTTCTGTAGATTATTTGGGGTTTTCTCTGTAGACAGTAATAATGTCTCCAAGGAACAACTGTTTTGTTTTCCTTTTCAATCTTCGTACCTTTGTACACCTTCCATGATTTTTTTTTGCCATATTTCTACTTCTTTTTTTTTATTATACTTTAAGTTTTAGGGTACATGTGCACAATGTGCAGGTTAGTTACATATGTATACATATGCCATGCTGGTGTGCTGCACCCAGTAACTTGTCATTTAGCATTAGGTATATCTCCATGATTTTCCCTTTCACTGCTATTGTTTGAATGCTTCCCTTTCCAAAACTCATGTTGAAACTTAATCTACATTGTGGTGGTATTAAGAGGTGGAGTCTTTATGGAAGTGATTAAAATATGAGAGCCCCTCCCTCATGAATGGATTAGTGCCCTATAAAAGGCCTGGAGAAAACTAGCTTAAGCCCTCTTTTGCCCTTCTATCTCTTCCGCCAAGTAGGGACACAGCCATTGCCATCCTCTTAGGAGGATGCAGTGTTCAAGGCGTTATCTTGGAAGCAAAGGCCAGGCTCTCACCAGACACCAAATCTGCCAGCAGATTTGGACGTTCCTCCTTCCAGAACTGTGAGAAATAAATTTCTGGTTTTTACAAATTATCCAGTGGAATACTTTAACCCTTTATTATTATCTAAAATCTTTATTGTGAGGTTTTTTGCTTGTTTTGTTTGTTTTTCGATATTTGTTATCAGGCTATGGAGATTCCTTCTATTCCTGTATGTAAGAGTGTTTAATACGAGTGGATGTTGAATTTTATCTAATCTTTTTTTTTCTGCATCTGTTAAGATAGGTCACATGATCTTTCTCTTTTAATTGGTTAATGCAATCAACCACATTAATTAAAGTTCCAATGTTAGTTAACCTTGAATTCCTGGGGACATCACAACTTAGTCATAGTTTCTTAATTAAACCGCATGCCTACTTCATTTACTTTTAGTTTTTATTTCTAAAATATGTAAATTCTAAAATATGTATTTAAGCCTAGTTATATATTCTCCTGTAAATGTTGTTGTCACCACATCCCATAAATTTTGATATGTAGTATTTTGAAATTCAGTTTTTAATATTTTCTATTATAATTTCTTATATGCCATTAATGCTTCTAATGTAATTTTGCATTTTCAAATGTCTGTAAATTTTATATGTTTCTGTTTTTTGGAATACTTGAAATTTTAATTTAGTTACATGTGGTCAGAGAATGTTTTAGTAGCATACCAATTCTCTCTAATTAATTGAGACTTGCTATTTAATTGTTTTCTTTACACCTCCCACGTCCTATTTTTTTAAAGCTTGATCTACCTATTTTTGCCTAATATAACTTGAAGTTGTTAATTAGGTTTACATCAGTTTAGAATCGTTATGTCTCTCCAGTGAGAGACACTTATCAAAAAGTAGTGGCCCTCTTTATCTTCAGTAATACTTTTGGCCTAAAGTTTAATTTGTCTATTATTAATATGAATACCTAAGTTTCTTTCTTATTTCACTAATGTATACACTTTTCTTACTTTTGCTTTTTATATTTAACTTCTTTTATATTATTAAATGTAACTTACATAAGAGAAGGATGACACAGCTGGGGTGACCTTTCAGAGATGTTCCAAACAGTGGAAAGGGTAACTGATCCCAGGATCCTGCATCTTCCAAGCTGTCCCAAGGAGCAGGTCATAGACCTGAGCTAGGAAGTTCCCTTTGGCTGAGGAAAATCCCTTGGAAGGGACACAGCTCTGAATCATCAGCAGACGACAGTCTTGGATGCCGATGGAATGGAGCATTTGATACCGAATAATGCATCTTGGTGGTACAGCATAGCATCCACTACAGTTAATTACATGCACTATTCAGACCTCCTAGTTTCATATAAGTTCATCAAATCTGGCACCAATTTTTCCAGAATTCATTAGTCTCTTTCCTGGATAAACTTACCAGAGCAAGATTAGGAGAGTGGGCCAAAGCCCCTGGTATTGTAGCTGATCTCAAAGCCATACAGATACTCGTTTCTTCCCTCCCTCCTTTCATTTTCAGATAGTATCCTTTTTGCTTTAGGTGGCTAACCAGTGAGATGACTCAGACCCTCTTTTCTGGTTAGTCTGAGCCTATGGTCACCATTTTAAGCCATGGCAGCTTTACTTGTCCATTTGCCTTCAAAACTGGCAAGGGAGTACCAAGAGATTCTAGAGGGGATCATCTGGATGTCAAATATGTGTCCTGCTATATTTACAGCTTCTAGAATGGTGATATTTTTCCTTGCATATTGCTTTGTTGGCATAAGAGGCCTAAAGTGATAGTGCGGCAGTCAAAACTTAAAGGTTAGTAGAACTCTTGCTATATATTTTGATAGAAGCATTGCTCCCTTGGAACCAGGACTTCTAGATCTGCAGAGTGTAGAGTTTTGAAAATGGCAAGCACAAATTCTCCAAGTTGGTCTCTGATAGTGACAGTAAGCAGAACCACCTCTATTCCATTTCTTAGTTCCTGGACCCATGTATTCAAGAAGGGGCCCATTGAATGATCATTAATTTAAGGTATGGTATGGTTTGGATGATGGTGTCCCCTTCAAAATTCATATTGAAACTTAATCCCTAATGCAACACTTTTAAGAGGTGTGGCCATTGGGAGGTGATTATGTCATGAAGGCTTCATCCCCATTAATGGGATCCTCAACCTTATAAAAGGGCTTGAGGTTGAAGAAAACACTCTCTTGCGCCTCTGTCCTCTGCTATGTGAGGACACGGCAATAAGGCACCATCTTAGAAGCAGAGAACAGCCCTCACCAGACACCAATGCTGGTACCTTGATCTTGGACTTCCCAGCTTCCAGAACTGTGGGAAATAAATTTCTGTTGTTTATATATTTTCCAGTCTCAGATATTCTATTGTAGCAGCATAAATGGGCTAAGCCAGGGTGTATTTCCCATCTTCACAGTATATTATCTCCAAGGTGATCCCTCAAGCATAGCTTTAAAGAGCCATTCTATCACTATATAAGGCCATTAGCTTCTAAGAGTATGGTATGTGATAGGACCATGGTCATTTGCCCACTGCTTTATTTTCTTGGTCTAAGGCAGTGTTACATGGGATCCCCTGCTGGTAGACCAAACACTCTGTGAGTCCTCATATAGTGGCAGTGGTTGAGGCCTTATAGGAAGATAAGGCAAATATGTACCAACAGTTTCAATTTGCGTGAAGATAAAGTATTGCTCCTTTCAGGTAGAAGAAATCTAATTTAACCAACTTTCCACCTAATAGTTGGCTGATTTTTTTGAATGATGGCTGTATTGGGGGGCTCACTATGGTCTCTTTTCCTGAGAGGTTGTATAGTTAGCATTGGCAGTAGCTGGATAAGCCTTCCTCAGTGGCTACTCTTACTACTGGGCTCATGCCTAGCCTCCATCTAGGTCACCATGGCTATTCCGTTTGTGGTCACATTGTGCCAGCATTGGGGTGGCCAATGGTAGTGATTAGATTATGTCAGTTTACCAACACATCCTGTCTGTTTGGTTAACAATACCTCTTCTCTTGTTGATGTTCTCTGGTGGTTTTTAAAATATGAATCAAGGCCAGGCACAGCAGCTCATAACTGTAATCCCTGAACTTTGGGAGGCCGATGTGGGTGGATCATTTGAGCCCAGGAGAAAGAGACCAGTCTGGGCAATATGGTGAAACTCCATCTCTACAAAAAAATACAAAAATTTGGTGGGCATGATGGCACATGCCTGTGGTCCCAGCTACTTGGGAGGCTAAGGTGGGAGGATTGCTTGAGCCCAAAAGGTAGAGGTTGCAGTGAGCCAAGATCACACCAGTGCATTCCAGCCTGGGCGACAGAGCGAGACCCTGTCTCAAGCAAACACACAGAAACAAAACAAAACAAAACAAAAAACTCATGTGAATCAAAGATCCTATTTGTTCCTACTCAACGTAGTTCATCCACATACCTCTTGCTCAGACCTCCTTATTCCCGGCCTTCCAGTCTTACTCTTTCCAGGTCCCTAGGTCCCTTTCATCTCATACAGGGTGAATGACTATCTGCATCACCTAAATCTCTGCCCATTGAGGCTATTTCCTCTCACCATCGCCTTTCTGGGACATTTCTGGAGTGGTGCTACAGTGCAGCTGCAGTCCATTATTAGCATATATCCACATATTAAGCTGTTCAGCCCATGAACCAAGCTTGGCCTTTTTTCTCCTCTGCTAGCTGATCACAGGGACCTCCCTGCAATGTGGCTTACATGGGAGTGGAGGGAGAAGCACCAGTGCAACACAGGCAGAGTCATGGGAATCTGAGTTACCAGCTTGTGCTGCCTACTTACGCCCTCTGGCCCTGTTCATGCTTGATCCCATGTATATTACTTCCATCCTATGTGGGATTGTTTCAGGACCTTCCCGAACTTATGACTTGATGAGTCTGAAAGAACTTAGCTCATGATGAGACATTCTGTCCACATAGTCACTTGATGTCCCAGAGTCCAGTAGTATTTAGGAGAAGCTTTTCTAATGGTATAGAGTTTGCTGCTGCAGTGGAATAGCCTTGTTTCACAACACTAGTATCGATAATGTGATTGTTCTTTAGGGTTTACCAGAACTCTATACAGTGCCATTTTTTTTTTTCCATCCAAATATCTTTAAAACCCTAACACTGCTATATAGCCCACACATAAGAGTGGTTTGCACCATATTCTGAACCTGCTATAGAGCCCTTTTCAGCTCTGCCCCACTTAGAGGAGGCACCTTTCCATGTTATTTGATAAATGGTTGGAAGTAACATTTGACGAATGTAACAGTGATCAGTTTATTGCCTCACAGCTCCAAATCTACTCTTTATCACCCGTTTGTGATACTGGACCTGTATCTTATAAATGTTTTTCTTTTGACAGCTTGCAGATAGGGAAGCTTTGCCAGTAGATGGATCTGGGAGGGGTTTTTCTTTCTAGTTCTGGGGTGTTTTCCTTGCTTCCTGTGGTTCTCAGCTGGCCTGTGGGACATCCAATGTACTCCTTGATTTCAATAGGGATGATGTTGTTATGGAGAAGAGGCCAAATGGAAGCATTTAACTGCTAAAAGCAAGGTGAGCGCACCTTGCTACCATGAAATGCAGCAGAAACATACTGGTAATCAGAATGCCTTGGCCTGCAGGAACCTTTGGCAGTGGCTAATTGATTGTGTTTTCCCTAGTAACAAGATTTATGGACAATCTACTAGAATATTGCTTGACCTATATAACCAAAAAAAAAACCTGCTAGCTCTGGAAACAGAACATCTAATTTGTGTCACCACAGTGGTGAGTTACAGACTCATTTACAGACATATGATAATTCACAGATCCATGGTTCTTTGATTGAAGGGAAGTCTGAGTCCCCTAGAGGAAGGACCCTGTAACACTGTCACAAGGATATGCTATAAATCTTCTCCCAAGTCTTCTGCAAGGGATCTGTGGCCATACTACAGCGACTGTGCATTGGAGGAAAATGAAATGCATAAGCCTGTGAGAGATTACTAGATACTGGCATTGAATTGAAGCTAATTCCTGAGGACACAAAGTGAGGGGCTTATGGAAACCATATAATAAATGGAATCTTTGTGCAAATCTTAATCATAATAGGTACAGTTTATCCCCAGGCTCATTCCTTAGTTATTTGCTCCAATTCCTGAATGTATAATATAAAAAGATATACTGGGTAGAATAGATGGAATATCTACATGTCTCTTTGATACATCAGTTGTGAGCTATTATGGTAGAAAGGGCAAAGTAGAAGTCCTGGAACTTTTCCTTGCCACCAAGATAGTTAACCAGAAGCAATACCCACAGCCCTGGAAGAATTGCAGAAAATGGTGACACCATCAAAGATTTGAAAGGTGCAGGAGTATGAAACCTATTATATTTCCATTTAACCCACCTGTTTGGCCTGTGTAGAAGTTGAAAAGATCTTGGAGAAAAACTGTGGACTATTTTAATTTAACTGGTCATTGACTGCAATTGCAGCTGCTGTCTAAGATACAGTGTTTTTACTAGAGCAAATTGACATGGCCCTTGGCAGTTTGTATGCAGCTATTGACCTGGGTAATGATATTTTTTCCATACTAATTTTCAAGAACTACCAGAAGCAGTATGTTTCTGGCAGAGTCAACAGTACATCTTTACATCTTAGGTCTACATCAATTCTTCTGCTCTCTGTCATAATATAGCCTGTGGTAATCTTCATCTTGACCTTCTACAAAACATCACACTCATCTACTACATTGATGACGTTATACTATTTGGATCTGATGAGCATGAAGTAGCATGCATTTTGATGCCTTGGTAAAATGTATATGAACTAGAGGGTGGGAAATAAAGTGCATGTAATTTCAGGGACTTACCACCTCAGCGAAGTTTCTCGGGGTTCAGTCATCTGAAGCATGTATGGATATCCCCCTCAAAGATGAAATACGAGTTGCTGCACCTTATGCCACCCACCATAAAAAGGGGCACAATTCTTGGTAGTCCTTTCTGGACTTGGGAGTCAATATATACCACACATGAGAGGGCTACTTTAGCCTATCTACAAAGTCACCTTGTAAGGTTGCCCATTTCCACTGGAGGCCAGGACCAAACAAGGGCTGTGTAGCAAGTCCAGGCTGCATTGCAAGCTGTTCTATCATTTGGGTTTTTTGATCCTGCAGATTAAATAAATTTGAAGTCCCTTTGGCCACTAGGAATGCAGTATAGAGGCTCTGACAAGAACCAATAGATCATAACATAGACCTTGGGTATTTTGGAGTAAATCTATGCCATCTTTTGTCAATAACTATTGTCTTTTTGAGAAACAGCTTCTGGTTTGTTGTGGGGCCTTGGTAGGGACCAAATGCCTAATTAAGGGGACATCAGATGACCATGTGGCTTGACCTTCTCATTATGAACTGGGTGTGTCTGACTCAGCCATAAAGTTAGGTGTGCAACCATCATCAGGCAGAATGCTATATAAGAAGGAGCTCAGGCAGGTGCACAAAGTACAAGTAAGTCATGACAAATGGCTCTTGATCCTTCAACAATAATTCCTGTTGCATTGCTTCCTCTCCAATAATCCATATTCATGGTCTTCTGTAGATTTTGTTATGATCAGGTGACTAAGAAAGAAAAAACTCAAGCCTAGTTGCAAGTAGGTCTCATGCTGTGCTGGTACCACCTGAAAGTGGACAGTTATAACACTGTAGTCCCACTAAGGGTGACCCTGAAGGACGGTGTTCAAGGAATCCTCCTGTTGGGTGAAACTTCAAGTGGAACATTTGGTTTTATACTTTGTCTAGAGTGAGAGATGGATGAAAAATATAAATCAGCACTGATCTTTAGGCAGCTACGAACAGTGGTTGGATGGTCAGGTTTAGAAAGGAACAGAATTAGGAGATTGGTAAAAAGATAGTGTGGGGAAGAAGTATGTGGACAAACTTCTCAGATGGATGGAGGCCTTAAAATATTTGTGGCTCATTTGAATGTCCTACAAAGTACATCCATTACAGAGAAGGATCTTAATAACAAAGTGAACAAAATTACATACTCTGTGGATGTCAGTTAGCCTCTTTCTCTAGCTACTCAAGTGATTGCTCAATGGGCTCATGATCAGAGCAGCAAGGATGAAAGCTACACATGGGCTCAGCAGCATAGAGGTTCTCTTACCAAGGCTGACCTGGATAGCACTACTGCTAAGTGCCTCATTTGGCAAAAGTAGATATCAGTGTTGAGCCCCTGATAGGATACCACTCTCTGGAGGGATCAGCTAGATACCAGATGGCAGGTTGATTATTATGGAGAAGGCAGTTATTTGTCCTCACTCGAATAGACATATATCCCAGGTATGGATTTGTCTTCTGTGTCCCTAATGCTTCTAACCATAACCACCATCCATAGACATACAGAATGTATTATCCATCATCATGGCATTCTACACAGCATTTCTTCTTATCAAGAAGCTAATTTTATAGCAAAGGAAGTGAATACATGAGAGTATGCCCATGGAAATTAACTAGTGTCACCACATACTCCATCACCTGGAAGTGGCTGGCCTAAATGGAAAGTGAAATGACTCACTGAAGGCATAGTTACAGCACCACTTAGGAGATAATGCCCTGAAAAGATGGGATTCTGTCTTATAGGACGTAGTATATGCTTTGGATCAGATTCCCCTGTTTGGTGCTCTTACCCACAGCCAGAATACATGGATTCTTGAATACATGGGTGGAAGTGGAAGTGGCTCCTCTTGTTATGATACTCAATAACTCACTTGCAGTATTTTGCTTCCCATCTTGGCATCTTTGTACTCTACTGGTTTAGAGGTCCTAGTACCCAAGAGGAGAATGCTTCCTCTAGGAGAACACGGCAATAGTCCCATTGAGTTAAGTGAGACTGCCACCTGGCTTCTGGGGCTCCTTATAGCATTGTAACAATGCCAGAAAAGGGCTTACTCTGCTGGCTGAAGTGATTGATCCTGATCACCAAGAAGAAGTTGGGCTGCTAGGCAATAGGGTCCAAAAAGCCCATGTCCATGTATTTTCTGGGGGCATGCTTCTTAATGATTCCCTGCCCAGTAGTAAAGGTAATGAAAAACAAGAGCAACCAAAGAAGGGCAGGATTATTAGGACTCAAACCCTTCACAGTAAGGGTTTGTTCACTCCACCAGGTTAAAAAACAAAACAAAACAAACAAACAAACAAAAAAACACTGACCATCCGAGGTTCTGGTTTAGGGCTAGGGAAATAGTGAATGGGTAGTAGAAGAAGAAAGTCACAGATACCAGTTCCAGCCTTATGACCACTTTACAGAAACAGGAACTATTTTAGTATTTTATCTTTGCTTGTTTTGTTTATGAGTTTATTTGAATATGCTAACCACTTCTTCTCCTTCCTTTTTCCATTACTATTACATATACCTTCAAGTTTTGGGGTAAACTTACAGTTTAGTCTTTAGGCAACAGAATATTCAGCAGTAGTCTAAATTTGAGGAGTAAGTAGTAAAGTCGGATATACATACAAAAGCTTTGAGACTATGTGTCTCCTTATTTAGGAGAAAAGCATGAGAACTTCTTTAATTGTACAAAGGATAGTATATTGTGTGAGGTGAAAGCATATGTATTTCATTGTATGGACATTCAAATGTGTATAGGAGAATGCATAGAGCAGCTGAATATTCAAAGGGGTGGACTGTGTCTGATAACAAGTTATTACCTTGCATCTCCAAATCATCGTTGCCCTACCAGTGATACTAGAGTTGGATGTTGTGAGCTCGTCTCCTTTGCCAGCTAGCATGATAGTAAACTTTGGCAGTAGAGGGCACTGGAGGGTCACTTCAGGAGAAAGAAGCTTCTGTTCCTGGTTCTGGTGAATCTTCTTTGCTTCTACCTTCAGGGATGCTAAGTAGCTGTGAGGAACACCTTGTGGACTTTTAGCTGAATCTCACAGGAAGCTTCTGGTGAATCCCACAGACTCCAGCTGGCTTCCCAGTGGGTTCGACAGCACCCCTTATTGGAAGCTTTCTAGGAGTTTCTTTAACACCCAGGAGGCTGTTTTCTGTTTTCAGTCTCAGCCAGAAGCATCTCAGAGATGAATTTACCCCTTAGTATCCAATCCTCTGTTACTAGTAATTGTTTTGAGCTTTACTGAGGCAAAATTGACAAATAAAAATTGTATTAATTCAGGTGTATACCTTGATGGGTTTTCTTGTTTATTTTTTAGACAAAATCTCGCTCTGTCCCCCAAGCTGGAGTGCAGTGATACGATCACAGCTCACTGCAGCCTCAACCTCCTGGGCTCAAGCAATCCTCCAGCCTCAGCCTCTCAAGTACCTGGGATTATAGGCATGTGGCATCATGCCTGGCTAAGTTTTAAACATTTTTTTGTAGAGACAGCGTCTCACTATGTTGTTTAGGCTGGTCTTGAACTCCTGGGCTCAAGCAATCCTCCCACCTCAGCCATCCAAAGTTCTGGGATTATACGTGTAAGCCACCATGGCTAGCCCCATCTTGATGTTTTGATGCATGCAAGTTAATTAACATATTCATCAACTCAAGTTAGTACTTCTTTATATTAAACTTTCCTGATTGTACCCTAACTGACATACCAGGTTTAGCATATACTGCCCCCAGAACCTCTGTTTCCTCTTCAGTAGTAGAAGAGGCAAGATGAAAGAATTTGTCCCTTAATTTGGAGAAGATATCCTGGAATACCCCAGTCTACTGGGCCCCTAAAACTTTTACTGATGTGGTAGGACCATGAATCTTTGTAGGGTTTAATCTTCCACCCTCTGCCTAGTATGTACCTTACCAATTTCTCCAATATACTTAGCTCTTCTTGCTTATTTGGTCCAATTAATATGATGTCATCTATATAGTGAACCATTGTATTATTCTGCAGAATTTCTAAATGGTTCAGGCCCAGGAACCTATTATAATAGACAGAAAAGTTAACATAGTTCTAGCAAGTCTAAATTTATACTGTTACCCATCCTACCTGAATGTGACCCTCTGCTGATTTTCTTGATAGGAATAGAGAAGAATGCATTTGCTAGCCCACTGACTTCATAACATATACCCAAGCAGATTAATGCATACATGCCTTAATGTGCTCTATAAAGTTATTACTTTTGGCACAGTGTGTGCAATGGGGGTTAATACCTCTTTGAGTTTGTAATCCACTGTTTTTCTCTAGGATCATATGGTTTTTGTAGAGGCCAAACTTACATTTGTTAATTAAGTGGGAAAAGAATGGGGGCACCATTTCTGCATCCTTCAGTTTTAAAGCTGGCACTAGTTTCTGCTATGCCCCCCTCCACCGTCGAATGCAGCATTATTTTTGATTTACTGTCTTAGCCAGTTTCAGAAGCTTTAATTTGCTTTTCCTACTATAGCAGCTCTACCTCACAGGCCAAGGAACCAGTGGGAGGGTTCTCCCAACTACCAAGTATGCCTCTTATGCAGCCAGGGACTAGGAAAATGTCCACTGGTTGGGTCTATGAACCAAGTGGATCCATTGAGAGCTAGGCCTGGGCCAATATTCCATTTATTACCTGGCCTCCCTATATGCCCCACTCTATTTATTAGCTGGCCTCCCTATATGCCCCACTCTAAAAACAGGTCCCTAGGTATCAGTGCCAACTCAGACCCTGTCTCCTACCATGTGTTAAATATCTGAGTATTCCTCTTTTCTCAGCTCACTAGATTTAATGGTGATAGGTCCTTTTGAAGGACTATATACACTGGCTGTAGTGTTGCCCTGTCCTTTTTTCTGGACACTTGGCTCTGTGGATTTCTTTCTGAAAATTGGTTTGGGTCTGGAGACTAGGCAAGGGATACTTTAGTTTTTATTGGAACACTATGTCTCAATGGGTTTAAGTCTCCTTGATAGTCTTTTGATTGCATGGTGTAAGCCAGGGGTTGGCTTACACTACTTACTTACTCTGTAAAGGGCCATAAAAACTTACCTTGTGAGGGACCATATAAAACATATTTTAGACTTTGTGGGAAATAAGGTCTCTGTCACAACTACTGAACTATTCCATTGTAGCATGAAACCAGTCATAGATAATACATTAATGAATAAGCATGGCTATGTTCCAATAAAACTTTATTTATGGTTACTAAATTTGAATCATATAATGTTCACATGTCATGAAATATTTTTGGGGATATTTTTCAGCCAATAAAAAATATAAGAACAATTCTTAGCTAGTAAGTTGTACAAAAACAGGTGGTGGCCTGGATTTGGCTTGGAAGCTATAGACTGCTGACCCCTGGTTTAAGCAATGCCCTTGTTGGCTTCCCATTTATCTTGTTCCTGAGCATGCTTCATTCTTTGAACTCTTTCTATAGCTTTCTACAGGTCAGACACCCAGCTCCACTATGACTATAAAAACAATAATATAATTATGCTTTAATTCTAATAGTTAAGCACTGCCACTTGGATTTATTGTCAATATTCTATCATCCCCACTGCTATTAGGAAATCCAGCATGTAATAGTGTTTCTTATTAGCCCTGGTCTACAAAGGACAATCACCACTGAGCTTCTCAATGAATCTGGTCCCCTGCTCACCAGTGTATTCCCCATTGTATTGTAAAACATAATATCCTCCATGCTTTCTATGTCCTGCCACAGAACATAGCTGCTGCTGGGTTTTCAGGCTTACATAATCTGTACATCCTTGCATGGCTACTCTTTGGGCCTCTTGATCTCTGTCCTGTCACCATCTGCCATCACAGTTCTGGCATTTCTACTTCACTTTGTTTGAGCCATTGCTTTCTCCAGGCTTCTAGTGGCCATCCTAGTCTGTGTTGTCATCATTTCCTTGGACCTTTCCTACTCCTATTTCCTTGGACCTTTGCCAGGAGAGCACACCTATGAAAATAAACTTGCTTTTATCCAATTTTATGTTCTACTCTCCCTTACTAGCAATGCTAGGCCTCATTTCCACATACATTTCCTTGCTCCTGCTGGTACTTGTTGGCTAGCATGTTGGTTATGATCCCTTAGTTCATGCCCATTTCACTCTGTTGCATATTAAATCACCAGATGTTATGATTCATAATTCCCTTATTCTGTCCAAGTCTCAGCTTTCCCATCTGTGAAATAAGGTAGATCCTCCGTGATATTTATTTGTAAATAAAAGAACTCTCCTTAACTACCTTTGGCAGGTAATGAATTTATTAAAAGATGGAATCTCTACAAGAGGACGGAGCAGAGTCCCAGGCTTGGGGGCTATCCACCTGAGAAAAATGCCCAAATTATGCTGTCTCTCCCAGCGAGATCTTTTTGCTGTCACAATTGCTTGACACAGACATTAAATATAGCATCATGGATAATGTGTGCAGTGATTCCCATGGACCATTGTCTCTGCTGCCTCTGGGACTTGTCTGTTTTTTCCTCATACATCCCAGAAAGTAGATTCCACAGTATGTCTATTCTCACACATTGCTCCCTTCTGCATAGAAGTCCCAAGTGAGAGAGTCTGATTAAAGAAGCCTGGATCAAATGCCTGTGTTCTAGTTGCCAAGAAATCTGGAAAAAAGAAAATGATTCTCATTTCTACCTTTGGAAGGCAAGATTTGTAATGTGAGAAAGCCCCCAACATAGGTAGGCTGTTTAAGTGCTTCCAAGCAAGCACACACAAGGTGAAAGTATACCAGAGAAGGAGAGCTATGAACAATACAGGCCTGATACTCAGAGTAAGTAATCAAGATGATCTCTAAGCAGCCTCCCAGCTCTGACATTCATTGGTTCTATGATCCTAACAAAAACATTGTTTTGTTTTTAAAGCACAGTGACGCATAACATAAAATTAATACATTTAAAAAATACTTCGCCATAATTTTGTAGATTTTGCTGTTTAATTCTGTCTAGTACCAAAATGCACACACACACACACACACAATCACATACACACATTTATATAAGTAGCTTGGGTTATCTGATTTTCAAGCTAAAGGATAAATCATCCCATTTCCTACTCCTGAGAATAGAAAGTTACCATAAATGAAATTATTTAAATATTTTCACATATAAAGAAAAACAATTATAATCTCAATTATTTTCCTAGGCATATTCTCAAAACCTCTTTGGCTACCTATTCAATCAAAGGATTTGAAGATGGTTCAAGGAATTTAAGTTTTAGGTTACTTTTTCATACATCAAGGTTGCTTGAATATCAGCTCAATATATCTGACCAGATACCTTTTGCCTCCTCACCAAGACACCTAAAGATTATAATTTATTTCCATAAGCAACATGCCTTCACTGGTAGCACAATTCTCAGTTGGGGAGGAGGCATGCCCACCAGTTGAAAATGATTATTTAAGCCCATCCTAGGTTTCTCATCATTTAGCAGCATGTTAGAGTGGAAATTACATGCACCTAGGGCAGACTGTTCGTTGCCTGCACAATATCCATTCTCCCTTTCTTCTTCCACTTTGATTCTGGCAGCAAAGTGCCCAGCCTCCTTTGTAGCTAAAGGTAGACAAAGCAAGTGGAAGTTATTGAGTGGAGCTCCTGAGAAGATGCCTTAAAAGATATTGACTCACCTGAGAGGTTCAGCCTTTTCATACCTTGCTCTTCTTTTTCCTTCTCTGTTTTTTTTTCCCGTTGTCTGTATTATTCACAGCCACTAATGGTGAATTACTGGACATCTGTGGTAGGCCAGTTATGGAAGGATTTGGGTGGGGAGGATCCCTCAGCTTATAATTTTATAAAGCAGTGGGCTGTGTTCCAGCATCTTTCTGGAGAGTGAAATTCTGGGGTCCACTAGTGTCTAACCGTGCAGGGGGCTGGCTAAGAACCCTGACTCTACTGTTGCTTTTGTGTTCTTGGATAGGTTATTTAATCCTATGTGTCTCAGTTCCCTAATTTGTGAAATGGGGATAAAATCTGTGCCTATATGAATAGGTTGTAATAGCTTTTGTTGCACACTCAATAAAAAGTTTCTTATTTGTGGAGCATTTCATCATGAAGGTGAATTATTTTTCTCCTCTGCTGCTTTCTCCTTCATCTTTTTCTCCATTTAGTGAAAGAACAAATTTGGACCTAGTAGTAGTAGTAGCAACAGCAGCAGTGTCAAGGGGAGTAATCAGAACCATCATAATTACTTTCTCCAGCATTTTCACGATACACAATGGGGCTGCCATAGTAGGATGCAGCTGATGTCACCCTCAGAAAATAACCTGCTACAAGGACTGTAAGGCCCTGATGGCTCCCAGGTGCCATCCCTTGAGATCACACACAGCACTGGGGGCAGGCTGTTCCTGTCCCATGGGGGCCTTCTCTAAAGGCAGTCTGCATTCTGGGCTCTCTGTTAGTCCGGCTGAGACTTTCTCATTGCTGCCTGGCAGGATGAAGCTCTTTCTGTCCAAGTTTCCTTTCTGATCTCTCCCCTTTTACCGGTGTCAATCTGCATGGTGGTCCAAAGGCTCTCCTTGACTCTCCATGCCCCCTCTTTTCTGTACCCTTCTGTCTTGGTCCGCTGGGGCTGCCATAAACAAAGTACCACAGACTGAGTGGATTAAACAACAGTATTTTTCTGTTTTGGAGGCTGGAAGTCCCAGATCAGGGAGTTAGCAAGTAGGTTTCTTTGGAGGCCTCTCTCCTTGGCTTATAGATGGCCATCATCTCCCTATGTGTTTACTTGGTCTTCCTTCTGTGTGTGTCTGTGTCCAAATCTCCTCTTCTTGTAAGGGCACCAGCCAGATTGGATTAGGGCCCACCCATATAACCTCCTTTTAACTTAATTACCTCTTTAAGACGCTTCTTCAAATACAGTCACATTCTAAATGAGGTACTGAGGATTGGGACTTTGACATACGAATGGGGAAGGGGGTGAGGGGGTGGAACAATTCAGACCATAACATCTTCAAAGGCATTCACCCCAATAAAGCTCATGTGCTTCTCATTCTGTCGCGCACCCACTTCTTAGAGGACCTAAACTGACAAACTCACAAAGATTATTTTACTTAATCCTCTGAACAACCCCATTTTATAAGAAAGAGATAAAATGACTTCACCAAGCTACCATTACTAGTACAGATTGTGGCCAGAATCTACCTTCTCTCAGTCTAATGCAATCTTTTCTACATTTTTTCCAGAATAAACTTTATTTGTTTTATGTAATTTAGCAAAGAGGCAACATTTTCCCTCCAGGCCTTCTTGCATTAAATTGGCAATAGTACTGTATGTTTTGGTTTTTCCTTAAACTCAGATTTATTTATCATTTTCTTTACTGTAATAATTAGTAGTCTTTTTTATTTTAAATGAATAACATTTCTAGACTAATATAATGTAATACTACTGAAGGCTGGAATTTTATTTTATTCCTCATTGTTTTTCTACAAGTACAAGGTGCTTCTAGTAGAGCACCGTGTACAGAAGATATTCAATGAATATTGCCAAATTTAACAACCATTCTTTGTGCGTCTATTCTAGCCTGTATTTCCAGTGCCTAGCAGTACCTGACATATAGTAGTACTCAATATACATGTGTTAAATGAAAAATAAAAGTTAATATTTATTGAGAAATGACTGTGTGCTAGACATAGCATTTTGTCACTTAAAACTTATAACAATTCATTAACAGAGAAATTATTATTATCTCAATTTTTCAGATGTGGCTTAGAAAAATTCTAGATCTTGCAAACACCACACAGCTAGTAAGTGATGGAGCTAGAATATAAACCAAGGCTATCTAACAATAACTTCACACTGCAGAGTATCTTTAGTTGGCCAAAAGGCTGTACCACTAAAAGGCTGCAGAAAGAAGGATAATTATCTTTCAAAAGTTTGAAACGACTCTTTGACCTATATTTTGCAGTTGCACAAAGTATCATGACTCATTAACGGTAGGAGTCCTGTTTTTGTTTTTGGAGGATTAGCTACAGTCATGTAAAGCATCCTTAAGCTAAAAGTAGCTTTTCAAGACTTCGGATGAAGAACTTTAGGGCAGAATTTAGAAGAAACTAAGTTGACTTTTAGTTCTTACTTTGGCTTTTTGGTCATGAACCATTTGATCTGGAAGCTGATAGAAAATTAAAACTATAGTCAGATTGCAAGCTTTTCATAAAGAGTTTCTTTTTCGTGAGCATTGTGGAATACAGATCTACCACAGTGTAAAGTGAGAGAGGAAATATTTTTCACTCAAAACATTTTTTTGAAGTTCTGACTGTAAAAAATACAGTATGGAGGTATCAGGATTACAAAAAGAGACCAATTACAGTGACTGCCTTCAAAAAGTTTAAGGTCTTGTATAAAAAAGTGACATGTGTATTAAACATAATATATGAGCCAATGTTTTTTGAGTGCCCTCTATGTAATAGACATTGTGCTAGGCAGGGCATGATTAGAGAGAGGCAGGTAAGGTACTCACCTTGGGTGCAAAGGTTAAGAGAATGCCAAAAATCTCAGTTTTCAAGAAAAATAATATTTTATATAATGTTTTTAAAAATCATATAAATGCAAGCCAATCCACAGTGAAAAAATACCAAATTTTAAGTAAACACAGGATCAGTATTGCTGAGTTTTTTGTTTTGCCTCAGGCTCAGCATAGCATTGCAGCTAAGCGCTTGACATGTACATCAAATGCATGTGTTTCTGCCATCCGAACGATTCGCCTCCAATTAATTTCCCAGCAAGACAACTGGAAATTTGCAGAGCATTTTAAAAAATATTGTTAAGAGCACAAGTTTCAGACTCAGGAATGCCTAAGTCCAAAGCATGTCCCTGCTGCTTATGTACTGTACTCTTGGGGGAGGCACTTTATTATCCTGGTCTCCATTTCCTCTTTTCTAAAATGGGGCTCATAGCGCTTAGCTCCTAATGTGGTTATTTTAAATGAACTCATGCATGTAAAATGCATAACCAATATATTTGATAAATGTTATCTAATATTATATTATAAAAGACAGAATGTAGTAAGCTATAGACATACAATATTATATGTTGGGATCACAACATAATGAGTCATTTAAACAGGGGCCTGGGGTGTCATTAAAGTTATAACCAAAGTTGTTTTCTTGAGTCTTGAGGAATGAATGGAGATTTGATATGTGAGGCAAGGCATTTGAGACCAAATCAATATTAGGAGAAAGGCAGGAAATCATGGATGTAAATGGCAAAATGTGAGTAGAGCATATGATCCACAGAGGATAGTGGGAGGGAATAGTAGGATGGATGGAGATTAGGATAAAGAGTTCTGACTATTTTTTTTTCTTTTTTTAAATTATACTTTAAGTTCTGAGATACATGTGCAGAATGTGCAGGTTTGTTTCATAGGTATACACATGCCATGGTGGTTTGCTGCACCCATCAACCCATCATCTGCATTCGGTATTTATCCTAATGCTATCCCTCCCCTTGTCCCCCACCCCTTGACAGGCCCCGGTGTGTGATGTTCCCTTCCCTGTGTCCATGTGTTCTCATTGTTCAACTCCCACTTATGAGTGAGAATATGCAGTGTTTGGTTTTCTGTTCCTGTGTTAGTTTGCTGAGAATGATGGTTTCCAGCTTCATCCATGTCCCTGCAAAGGACATGAACTCATCCTTTTTTATGGCTGCATAGTATTCCAGGGTATATATGTGCCACATTTTCTTTATCCAGTCTATCATTGATGGGCATTTGGGTTGGTTCCAAGTCTTTGCTATTGTAAATAGTGCTGCAGTAAACATACGCGTGCATGTGTCTTTATAGTAGAATGATTTATAATCGTTTGGGTATATACTCAGTAATGGGATTGCTGGGTCAAATGGAATTTCTGGTTCTAGATCCAGTTCTGACTATTCTTTATTTGATGGGGAGTCCCAGCGGTTTTGGGGAGGAAATGCCATACATTGACCCTGGCTTTTAAAAATATAAGTGACCCCAAGATTAAAGCTTGATAGCAGAGTTGATGTTTTTAAATAATAATAAAACTCAATATACATGGAAACAGAGGATATTTTATAGATTATATGAAGGAAGAAACTGGTTTGAAGTTACATTTACAGCAAGTGATATTTTTGAATGTTCCACTGAGGAAAACAGTGGATCATATTTTCAGATTTTAATCTGAACTGGAGAATTCAGAAAGACTCAAAATTCCTGTTTCATAGAGATTTGCCATATTTTTAGGAAAATATGGTACCTGAGGTGTCATATAACTGTCTTGGATCTACAACCTAGGGCTCAAAAGCGATGATTCTGCTTAAAGCAATCAGTTTGTGGACACATAACAATTTATTTTACTACACTTGTATTTTCTTAAATTCTTATTTAGTTTTAAAATAGCATTAAAACAATTTAGAAAAATGTTTAAAAATCACCCTTAGCCTCACCATTCTTATGCGATTGTTTTATTTTCCAAACTTCTGCTGGTTTCCTTTGTATTTATGTGAGGTTTTGCATGGTTGTAATCAAAGCACATGTATAATTTTGCATTCTGTTTTTTAAATCTAACGTTACAATTTTCATTTTCCATTTTCCAAAAAGTGCATAATAACCAGTCCCTCCTCACCAAGGGATAGATAATCTATTATAGAAAATAGAAGAGGTGTAATCATCTGGGACTTAGAATCATAGAGATTATGGTTTGAAACCCAGTTCACTTTTTACTAGACAATTAAATTTGGAAAAGTTATTTAAACCTCAGTCTTTTTGTAATATGAGGTAATAGTATGTATTTGTGGGGAGGCAAAAATAAGATACAATCTTTATGGAATGTACATTTCTAAGCACAAATTAAATTCTCAATATATGGTAGCAACCATTATTATTCTTATCAGTCACTATACAAGACGCACAGTTTTATTCATCCATGCATTCAAAATATTTATTACAGGCTCACTGTGTACCAGACACTATATTAAGCACTGGGGTGAAAAATTCAGGGTTCCTGCCTACTAGCAGCTCTTAGTTTATTGGGGGTTACAGTTGTATAAATAGATACTTGCAATAAAGTATATTGCTGATATCTCTTTTTCTTTTGTTTCACACTTATACCTTGGTTTTCACGCTGTCTTCTTTCATTAGCTTTTGGACCTTTGCATATTTCCTCACAGTCAGGTTATTATAGGTCAAAGGCCCACTAGGTTTACCCTGGACACTTTTGTATGAGTATTGCTGTTCTTGGAAGTACCTCTGTGATGACAAGAACAGGCATTGCAGGCAGACTCCTAGCTTCTAACCAGTTCAGCCACTAGTTAGATGTGAGAACTTGAGAGAGTTCCTTGACCTCTCCAATCTTCAGTTCCATCATCTAATGACACCTCCCTTGAGGGATAATTGTGGGTATTAAATGAGAGAATCCATGTGATGCTGTCAGCACAGACCTGGCCCTTAGTTAACACAAAGCAAATGGAACCTACTGGCTGGGCATGGTGGCTCATGCCTATAATCCCAGCGATTTGGGAGGCCAAGGTGAGAGGATCACTTGAGGCCAGGAGTTCAAGACCAGCCTGGGTGACAGAGGAAGACCCCGTCTCAAAACAAAAGCAAAACATAAAAGGAAACTGCTTTTATCATGTGAATTATCACTGGCTTCATTTCAGCTGGACATTGCTTTTCTTTTCGGCACACTTTTTAAAAGTGTGACTCATGAAATACTCGTGTCTTGAAAAATAACAAATGAGGTCTACCACATCCCCAAAAGAAACCTGAGACCAAATGTGTTTGGCAAATCCTGCTTTAACTTGACTTCCTTCATAATTTCATGCTCATACCCTGCATCCCCTCTCATGTCTATGCTTCTTCATTGATCTGCTGTCTGTCCATGGCCCTTCCAGTCAGGTGTCTCCCCATGGCTCCACTAAACAACCCCATCTACAGTCTGGCCACATCTGCCATTAACTTCGCAGAGCACAATGGATGCTCTCAATGCCCTTCTCAGATGCCACACACAGTCCCTGACTAGTGTTGTACTCACCACAGCCCGTTCCTGGCCTGACAGACCATCTCAGTCTCCATCTGCTCCCCTGCCTGATGGGAGGTTTTTTGGGTTTTTGGTTGGTTGGTTTGTTTCTACTTCTGATGTTTTAGGTGGAAAAAAACAGCCAGGCAGAGTACCCATAGGCAGTTGATTCCCCGGGAGCCCTTTTCTCCACGCACTTTTGTCTTGCCAGTATCTATGCTTCCTGTTTGCTAATTCCCTCCTACTTTCCACATGAAGAAAAAGGCTGTTACAATTACACAAGGTTAGAGGTTCAGTCTACAGGTACTTCCCAAAATGTGTCCTTATAATATATCCAAATACTTATATTTTTAAGGAGTAAGATTCACATGATATAAAACTCACCATTTTAACCATTTAAAAGTATACAATTCAGTGGCTTTTAGTACATTCACAATGTTCTGCAACCATCACCACTGTCTAGTTCTAGAACATTTCATCATCCCAAAAGGAAGCGGCCACTTCCCATTCCTCACTTCCCCTAGTCCCTGGCAACTATGCTTTCTATCTCTATGAAATTGCATAGTCTGAATATGTCATGTAATATGTGACCTGGCTTCTTTCACTGAATATAATGTTTTCAAGGTTAATCTATGTTACAGCAAGTATCATTTCTTTTTATGTCTGAATAACATTCCATTGTATAGATATACTACATTTGCATATTCTTTTATCATTGCTGGCTATTTGGGTTGTTTTCACCTTTTGGCTATTGCAAACAGTGCTGCTATGAACATTTACATATAAGTTTTTGTTTGAACTCTAGTTTGGGGTACATACCTAGGAATGGAGTTGGGCCCATACTCCATGATATCTTACTTCAGTATTTTCTTTCTTTTTTATCTTTTTTTTTGAGACAGAGTCTCACTCTGTTGTCCAGGCTGCAGTGCACTGGCACAGTTTCAGCTCATTGTAACCTCCACCTCCTGGGTTCAAGCAGTTCTCCTGCCTTAGCCTCCCGAGTAGCTGGGATTACAGGCGCCTGTCACCATGCACAGCTAATTTTTTTGTATTTTTAGTAGAGACGGGGTTTCACCATGTTGCCCAGGCTGGTCTTGAACTCCTGGACTCAAGCAATCCACCCATCTCAGACTCCCAAAGTGCTGGGATTACAGGCATAAGCCACCATGCCCAGCCCATTTTACTTCAATATTTTCTAACCATTAACTAGATTTGCTAAATTTACAACATTAAAATCTCACATATGTAACTTAATATCATAAAGTTCCAGAATGCTAAAGAAAAAAAAGTTTGGTTACATTGCTATGCTGGATCTCAAATTTTTATCCTGGAAACACTTTCTGGGAGAAGAGATAACCTGCATGGAAGTAATATTTGTGTTACTCAAAACTACAACAACAACAAAAATGACTCACATAAAACATGTTTTCTAAAGAAAATACTGTACCTAGAAGGTATTGGTGGAAAAATTATACAGCTTTTGAAGTCCAGAAGAATAGTGCAATTCTGCCTGGTTTGCCATAGTATGTGTGAATAATAGAATGTAGAGTCTTTCCCTTTAGTAATTCTGAACTGGCTGGCAATCTTCATTTTACTCTTCTGCCCTCCACCAAGCCAATGATGAGAAAAATGAATGGAAATTGGAATTTGAATCACTTCCTAATTGTTTTACTTGGTTCAAATGGCTGCAGTTACCATATACACATTTTTCTCCACTAAGTAATCTCCAAATGATATAAAACAGTCATCCTTTTAAAGGACTCCCTCTATTTTTCTTTCCAGAATTAAATTGGCACATGGTCTTCTACATCCACACTTGCATTTTGCTTTTTCTAAAAACCTAAATCAAACTCTCTTCATGAAACTTGACTTTATCTGCTTGGCCAAGATTGACTCTTACAGCCACTGAATACATGCTGTTGACAAAATGGCATTCCTGTATGCTGAAAATATCTGTGCAATGTAGGGACATTTTAATAGTGGCATGCTGAATAATCAATTCCACTTTAAGGCACAGATCAATATTATCTCTGAGATGTCTAAATAGCCATTAAATATGAACAGAACAGGCCTAGCAAGCAGAAAAATGAGGAGGAGGATTGTTCTTGACTACAACATGAGGCTTCTAATGATTTTTAATGGGAACATTGACCTCTCTGGAAAATTAGCAGTTTTTTTTTCTCCTTGATGAATCTAAATTAGTTAAGTTTTGTTTTCATTTTGTTTTGTTTTGGACTTTCTTGCTCTAAACACTTTATTATTGGAGAAAAGAATACTATGTAGTTCCTGTAGATATCTCCTGAGGCTTTATAATTAATTATTGTTGTTATTATTTTACATCTTAAAAATTAAACTTTTGTTTTAGAATGGTTTTTTTAAATTATACTTTAAGTTTTAGGGTACATGTGCACAATGTGCAGGTTTTTTACATATGTATACATGTGTCAAGTTGGTGTGCTGCACCCAGTAACTCGTCATTTAACATTAGGTATATCTCCTAATGCTATCCCTCCCCCCTCCCCCCACCCCACAAGTGGCCCCAGTGTATGATGTTCCCTTCCTATGTCCATGTGTCACACTGTTCAGTTCCCACCTATGAGTGAGAACATGCGGTGTTTGGTTTTTTGTCCTTGTGATAGTTTGCTGAGAATGATGGTTTCCAGCTTCATCCATGTCCCTACAAAGGACATGAACTCATCATTTTTTATGGCTGCATAGTATTCCATGGTGTGTATGTACCACCTTTTCTTAATCCAGTCTATCATTGTTGGACATCTGGGTTGGTTCCAAGTCTTTGCTATTGTGAATAGTGCTGCAATAAATATACATGTGCATGTGTCTTTATAGCAGCATGATTTATAGTCCTTTGGGTATATACCCAGTAATGGGATGGCTGGGTCAAATGGTATTTCTAGTTCTAGATCCCTGAGGAATCACCACACTGTCTTCCACAATGGTTGAACTAGTTTACAGTCCCACCAACAGTGTGAAAGTGTTCCTGTTTCTCCACATCCTCTCCAGCACCTGTTGTTTCCTGACTTTTTGATGATTGCCATTCTAACTGGTGTGAGATGGTATCTCATTGTGGCTTTGATTTGCATTTCTCTGATGGCCAATGACGATGAGCATTTTTTCGTGTGTCTTTAGCTGCATAAATGTCTTCTTTTGAGAAGTGTCTGTTCATATCATTCACCCACTTGTTGATGGGGTTGTTTGGTTTTTTCTTATAAATTTGTTTGAGTTCATTGTAGATTCTGGATATTAGCCCTTTGTCAGATGAGTAGATTGCAAAAATTTTCTCCCATTCTGTAGGTTGCCTGTTCTTTCTGATGGTAGTTTCTTTTGCTGTGCAGAAGCTCTTTAGTTTAATTAGATCCCGTTTGTCAATTTTGGCTTTTGTTGCCATTGCTTTTTGTGTTTTATACATGAAATACTTGCCCATGCCTATGTCCTGAATGTTATTGCCTAGGTTTTCTTCTAGGGTTTTTATGGTTTTAGGTCTGACATTTAAGTCTTTAATCCATCTTGAATTAATTTTTGTATCAGGTGTAAGGAAGGATCCAGTTTCAGCTTTCTACATAAGGCTAGCCAGTTTTCCCAGCACCATTTATTAAATAAGGAATCCTTTCCCCATTTCTTCTTTTTGTCAGGTTTGTCAAAGATCAGATAGTTGTAGATATGTGGCATTATTTCTGAGGGCTCTGTTCTGTTCCATTTGTCTATATCTCTGTTTTGGTACCAGTACCATGCCGTTTTGGTTACTGTAGCCTTGTAGTGTAGTTTGAAGTCAGGTAGCATGATGCCTCCAGCTTTGTTCTTTTGGCTTAGGATTGACTTGTCAATGAGGGCTCTTTTTTGGTTCCATATGAACTTTAAAGTAGTTTTTTCCAATTCTGGGAAGAAAGCCATTGGTAGCTTGATGGGGATGGCATTGAATCTATAAATTCCCTTGGGCAGTATGGCCATTTTCACGATATTGATTCTTCCTACCCATGAGCATGGAATGTTCTTCCATTTCTTTGTATCCTCTTTTATTTCATTGAGCAGTGGTTTGTAGTTCTCCTTGAAGAGGTCCTTCACGTCCCTTGTAAGTTGGATTCCTAGGTGTTTTATTCCTTTGAAACAATTGTGAATGGGAGTTCACTCATGATTTGGCTCTCTGTTTGTTATCGGTGTATAAGAATGCTTGTGATTTTTGCACATTGATTTTGTATCCTGAGACTTTGCTGAAGTTGCCTATCTGCTTAAGGAGATTTTGGGCTGAGACGATGGGGTTTTCTAGATATACAATCATGTCATCTGCAAACAGGGACAATTTGACTTCCTCTTTTCCTAATTGATACCCTTTATTTCCTTCTCCTGCCTGATTGCCCTGGACAGAACTTCCAACACTATGTTGAATAGGAATGGTGAGAGAGGGCATCCCTGTCTTGTGCCACTTTTCAAAGGGAATGCTTCCAGTTTTTGCCCATTCAGTATGATATTGGCTGTGGGTTTGTCATAAATAGCTCTTATTATTTTGAAATATGTCCCATCAATACTTAATTTATTGAGAGTTTTTAACATGAAGTGTTGTTGAATTTTGTCAAAGGCCTTTTCTGCATCTATTGAGATAATCATGTGGTTTTGGTCGTTGGTTCTGTTTATATGCTGGATTACATTTATTGATTTGCATATGTTGAACCAGACTTGTATCCCAGGGATGAAGCCCACTTGATCATGGTAGATAAGCTTTTTGATGTGCTGCTGGATTTGGTTTGCCAGTATTTTATTGAGGATTTTTGCATCGATGTTCATCAGGATATTGGTCTAAAATTATCTTTTTTTGTTGTGTCTCTGCCGGGCATTTGTATCAGGATGATGCTGGCCTCATAAAATGAGTTAGGGAGGATTCCCCCTTTTTCTATTGATTGGAATAGTTTCAGAAGGAATGGTATCAGCTCCTCCTTGTACCTCTGGTAGAATTTGGCTGTGAATCCATCCGGTGCTGGACTTTTTTTGGTTGCTAAGCTACTAATTATTGCCTCAATTTCAGAGCCTGTTATTGGTCTATTCAGAGATTCAACTTCTTCCTGGTTTAGTCTTGGAAGAGTGTATGTGTTGAGGAATTTATCCATTTCTTCTAGATTTTCTAGTTTATTTGCATAGAGGTGTTTGTAGTATTCTCTGATGGTAGTTTGTATTTCTGTGGGATCAGTGGTGATATCCCCTTTGTCATTTTTTACTGTGTCTATTTGATTCTTTTCTCTTTTCTTCTTTATTAGTCTTGCTAGCAGTCTATCAATCTTGTTGATCTTTTCAAAAAACCAGCTCCTGGATTCATTGATTTTTTGAAGGGTTTTTTTGTGTCTCTATTTCCTTCAGTTCTGCTCTGATCTTAGTTATTTCTTGCCTTCTGCTAGCTTTTGAATGTGTTTGCTCTTGCTTCTCTAGTTCTTTTAATTGTGATGTTAGGGTGTCAATTTTAGATCTTTCCTGCTTTCTCTTGTGGGCATGTAGTGCTATAAATTTCCCTCTACACACTGCTTTGAATGTGTCCCAGAGATTCTGGTATGTTGTGTCTTTGTTCTCTTTGGTTTCAAAGAACATCTTTATTTCTGCCTTCATGTCGTAATGTACCCAGTAGTCATTCAGGAGCAGGTTGTTCAGTTTCCATGTAGTTGAGTGGTTTTGAGTGAGTTTCTTAATCCTGAGTTCTAGTTTGATTGCACTGTGGTCTGAGAGACAGTTTGTTGTAATTTCTGTTCTTTTACATTTGCCGAGGAGTGCTTTATTTCCAACTATGTGGTCAATTTTGGAATAGGTGTTGTGTAGTGCTGAAAAGAATGTATATTCTATTGATTTGGGGTAGAGAGTTCTGTACATGTCTATTAGGTCCGCTTGGTATAGAGCTGAGTTCAATTCCTGGATATCCTTGTTAACTTTCTGTCTTGACCTGTCTAATGTTGTCAGTGGGGTGTTAAAGTCTCTCATTATTATTGTGTGGGAGTCTAAGTCTCTTTGTAGGTCTCTAAGGACTTGCTTTATGAATCTGGGTGCTCCTGTATTGGGTGAATGTATATTTAGGAGAGTTAATTCTTCTTGTTGAATTGATCCCTCTACCATTATGTAATGGCCTTCTTTGTCTCTTTTGATCTTTGTTGGTTTAAAGTCTGTTTTATCAGAGAATAGGATTGCAACCCCTGCCTTTTTTTGTTTTCCATTTGCTTGGTAGATCTTCCTCCATCCCTTTATTTTGAGCCTATGTGTGTCTCTGCACATGAGATGGGTTTCCTCAATACAGCACACTGATGGGTCTTGACTCTTTATCCAATTTGCCAGTCTGTGTCTTTTAATTGGAACATTTCGCCCATTTACATTTAAAGTTAATATTGTTATGTGTGAATTTGATCCTGTCATGATGATGTTAGCTGGTTATTTTGCTCGTTAGTTGATGCAGTTTCTTCCTAGCCTCGATGGTCTTTACAATCTGGAATGTTTTTGCAGTGGCTGGTACCGGTTGTTCCTTTCCACGTTTAGTGCTTCCTTCAGGAGCTCTTTTAGGGCAGGCCTGGTGGTGACTAAATCTCTCAGCATTTGCTTGTCTGTAAAGTATTTTATTTCTCCTTCACTTATGAAGCTTAGTTTGGCTGGATATGAAATTCTGGGTTGAAAATTCTTTTCTTTAAGAATGTTGAATATTGGCCCCCACTCTCTTCTGATTTGTAGAGTTTCTGCTGAGAGATCAGCTGTTAGTCTGATGGGCTTCCCTTTGTGGGTAACCCGACCTTTCTCTCTGGCTGCCCTTAACATTTTTTCTTTCATTTCAACTTTGGCGAATCTGACAATTATGTGTCTTGGAGTTGCTCTTCTTGAGGAGTATCTTTGTGGCATTCTCTGTATTTCCTGAATTTGAATGTTGGCCTGCCTTGCTAAATTGGGGAAGTTCTCCTGGATTATATCCTGCAGAGTGTTTTCCAACTTGGTTCCATTCTCCCCATCACTTTCAGGTACACCAATCAGACGCAGATTTGGTCTTTCCACATAGTCCCATATTTCTTGGAGGCTTTGTTTGTTTCTTTTTATTCTTTTTTCTCTAAACTTCCCTTCTTGCTTCATTTCATTCATTTGATCTTCCATCACTGATACCCTTTCTTCCAGTTGATCAAATCAGCTACTGAGGCTTGTGCTTTCGTCACATAGTTCTCATGCCATGGTTTTCAGCTCCATCAGGTCCTTTAAGTACTTCTCTGCATTGGTTATTCTAGTTAGCCATTCATCTAATTTTTTTTCAAGGTTTTTAACTTCTTTGCCATGGGTTCGAACTTCCTCCTTTAGCTCGAAGTAGTTTGATCGTCTGAAGCCTTCTTCTCTCAACTTGTCAAAGTTATTCTCTGTCCAGCTTTCTTCTGTTGCTGGTGAGAAGCTGCATTCCTTTGGAGGAGGAGAGGTGCTCTGATTTTTAGAGTTTCCAGTTTATCTGTTCTGTTTTTTTCCCATCTTTGTGGTTTTATCTACCTTTGGTCTTTGATGATGGTGATATACAGATGGGGTTTTGGTGTGGATGTCCTTTCTGTTTGTTAGTTTTCCTTCTAACAGTCAGGACCCTCAGCTGCAGCTCTGTTGGAATTTGCTGGAAGTCCACTCCAGACCCTGTTTGCTTGGGTATCAGCAGTGGAGGCTGCAGAACAGTGGATATTGGTGAACAGAAAATGTTGCTGCCTGATCTTTCCTTTGGAAGTTTTGTCTCAGAGGAGTACCCAGCCATGTGAGGTGTCAGTCTGCCCCTACTGGGGGGTGCCTCCCAGTTAGGCTACTTGGGGGTCAGGGACCCACTTGAGGAGACAATCTGTTCATTCTCAGATCTCAGGCTGCGTGCTGGGAGAACCACTACTCTCTTCAAAGCTGTCAGACAGGGACATTTAAGTCTGCAGAGGTTTCTGCTGCCTTTTGTTTGGCTATGCCCTGCCCCCAGAGGTGGAGTCTACAGAGGCAGGCAGGCCTCCTTGAGCTGTGGTGGGCTTCACCCAATTCGAGCTTCCCAGCTGATTTGTTTACCTACTCAAGCCTTGGCAATGGCGGGCGCCCCTCCCCCAGCCTTGCTGCCGGCTTGCAGTTTGATCTCAGACTGCTGTGCTAGCAATGAGCGAGGCTCCGTGGGTGTAGGACCCTCTGAGCCAGGTGCAGGATATATTCTCCAGGTGTGCCGTTTGCTAAGACCTTTGGAAAAGTGCTGCATTAGGGTGGGAGTTACCCGATTTTCCAGGTGCCATCTGTCACCCCTTTCTTTGACTAGGAAAGGGAATTCCCTTACCCCTTGCACTTCCTGGGTGAGGCAATGCATCACCCTGCTTCGGCTCCCACTCAGGCTCAGTGTACTGCACCCACTGTCCTGAACCCACTGTCCGACACTCCCCAGTGAGGTGAACCCAGTACCTCAGCTGGAAATGCAGAAATCACCCATCTTCTGCATCGCTCACGCTGGGAGCTATAGACTGGAGCTGTTCCTATTTGGCCATCTTGGCTCCACCCCTCCTCGAATGGTTTTCTATTTACAGAAAAATTACCAAACTGGTACAGAGTCCCATATACCTCATATCCACTTTCTCTATTATGAGATAATATATTATTATGGTACATTTGATAAATTAATGAACCAATATATATTATTATTAACTAAAGTTGATTATAATCAAATATCTTGGTTTTAAATCAAATACACTTTTTCTTTTCCAAGATCTCATTAAGATATCACATTACATTTAGTTATTATCATGTTAGGTATCTCTTGGCTGTGACATTTTCCCAGAATGTCTTTGTTTTTCATGATTTTGACAATTTTGAACAAACTGGTATTTTGGCTAGATATTTTGTAGGCTATCTCTCAACTGGGATTCATTTTATGTTTTCCTCACAATTAGACTGTGGTTATGAGTGCTTTGGAGGAAGACCACAGAGGTAAAATGTCATTTTCATCATATTACTTATTTCAAGAGTACGTACTATCAACTTGACATCACTATTGATGTTAACCTTGATCACTTGGATAAGACAGGGCTTTTCACGTTTCTCCACTGTTAAGTTCCTCTTTGTCCCTCTTGCATACTTTACTCTTTGGAGAGAATTCACTATGCCTAGCCCACACATAGGGGATAGAGGGTTATTTATGCTCCATCTCCTTGAGAGGGAGAGTATCTACAGAAATTATTTGGAATTCTTTTCCATGGGAGATTTATCTCTTTGTCCTCATTTATGTATTTATTCAATCATATATTTCTATCAGTGTGGACACATGAATATTTATTGTATGCTTTAGGCTATAATTCAATACCTTTTTTTGTTCAAATTGTTCCAGTTTTGTTCATTGTGAGCTCTTTCAGTTGGCTCCTTTGTCCATTTAATATACCTTATTACTGTATGTGTGTCTGTGTGTGTGTGAGACAGAGTGTGTGTGTGTGTGTGTGTGTGTTTTGAGCACTTTCTTACTTACTGGCACTATAAGATGCCCCAGAATTATTTTGAACGTTTCTTGTCCCATTTATAGAATCAGACATTTCTCCAAGGAGCTTTGGTTCTTTTTATTGGATACTGATATCAGAAATTAAAATCTGGATGCTACGTGTGTGCAGTTACTGGGGTATCATTGCTTTTAGAATTTCTTAGGTGACAGAGAAAGGAAATATATATCTGTATCCTATCCTGCGCACGTTCACATATCTATAATTATTTCTGTTTGTATCCATCTGTATCTATATTAAACTTGAGTTAATACTGTTTTCTGCAACTCTAATCCATTACCACATGGATCTCTCTAGTCTTCTCTCATACATTTATAGTACATTCATACATTTATAGTACAGTTAAATTCACCTGTCAAAGTCTACATTCTTTCTTGGGATCCCCTGACCTCCTAAATGATTTGTTAAAATTTGCACACATTGAGGTTCACTCTTGTGTTGTAAAGTTATGTGGTTTTTGACAAATGCATAATGTCATTTATCCACCATTACAGTACCACACAGAATAGTTTTACCACCCTAAAAAAATTCCCTGTACTTTACTATTCCATTCTCCTCCTCCCACAAGTCCCTGGCAACCACTGATTGGTTTCCCATTTCTATAGCCTTGCCTTTCCCAGAATGTTGCATAAAAGAATTATATGGTGTGTAGCCCTTACAAACTAGCTTCTTTCACTGATAAATATATATTTAAGATTCATCCCTATCTTGTGTGGCTTTACAGCTCAGTTTTTGATCACTGAAAACCACTGACTTCTACATATTATATTGATGTACTACAGATTGTTTATCCATTTATCCGTTGAAGAATATCTTGGTTGCTTCTAGTTCTTGGTGTTTATGATTTGCCTGCTGGTTTCTGTGTGAAGATATTGTCAAATAGGTGGAGTAAACACCTAACATTCATTTACTTGATTGTATGGTAAGACTTTGTTTAGCTTTCTAAGAAACTGCCACACTGTCTTCCAGTTTGCATTCTCATCAGCAATGATGAGAGTTCTTGTTACTCAGCATCCTCATCAGTAATTGGTATTGTTATTCCAACACCTTTAAATAGGTGTGTAGTGATTAAATTGGTTCAGTTGTGCTTAGTGATCATCCATATCCAATGGAAAAATATCACACATCAAACACATATGTGGATTTATAACTTAATAGTTTTTGTTAGATGCTTTCCTTTACATAATTTTTTTTACCATTAAAACTTGGCATTTATCACATTTTTCCTCTAAGGATATAAAATACAGAATAGTGTGTTGGTTGTTTCACTTTGAATTAAAGTAAACTGGGGTTTAATCTAGACTGTACCACTTATCTCTGAGACTATGTGTGAATTATTAACTTGCCCTGCTTTAGTTTCCTAATCTTTAACACAGAAACAATAACAGAAACCAACTGAGGAGGTAATATACATTTAAAGAGTTACTACATGGGAAGTATTTAGCATGATGCCTGGAACATGGCAACCATATGATAATTATTGTTATTACTGTATTGCTAGTTCTGATATTATTACCAGAGAAGGGTCTGTTTTTTTTCTAGAAACAATACACTTTTCAGTCCTTCACTTTGGAGCTACACTGATCTTTTTCACCCTACCATGCCTCATAAAATAGAATAAACATGCTTCACATTCATTACATTTCTTGCAGCATGATTTTTTCTACTCCAAAGAGCATGGTGGATATTTGCAAAGGTAACCTAAGTGTTACAACTCATTGCCTTCCTGTTATTTTTTGTATTACTAATAATCCCTTGCATTTGCTTAGTGCTTCAGATTTTACATAAAGCTGGCTTCACAGACAGTATCTCATTTGCTTCTCAGAACAGCTTTCTGAGGTAGGGCAGGGCATGCTTAATAGTCTTTCATTTTGATAAGGTGAAGTAACTTGCCCCAAATTGCATAACAGGTAAGGGCAGAGTTAGGGTCTGAATCCAGGTGTTCTGAATCCCGATTTCAGTGTTCTTTCAAGGAAACCAAGCATAGGGTGAATCTTCAGATAAAATGGTAGATACAGGCTGCCTGGGACATTCATTATTTCCCGTTAATTCTGGAACCATGTGGTTCATGCAGTGGGGATTATGAGTGGCAGGAATCTTCAAAGGGGGATCCTTTTGTACTTTGGGGCTTTAAATCAGCTATAACATCACCAACACTCATGTCTCAAGGGTAATCTCCTAGAATCTAATATGTGTATAATAAGATCCCCAACACAATTTCTAAAGCACTAGATTGTTCTTGGTAAGGAGTGTAGTAGCCAGATTTTTACACTCTTTCTGGTACTTATCCCAGTCACCTTCCTCACTTTATATGTAACTCACAAAGCTAAGCTTCTAGCAGTCTTGTTGGTACTGTGAGTCCATACCCCTGGTTCTGTTTGATTATCCAGGAGTAGACATTTGACTCTAGATGGGCTAATGAGATGCTGTCTCCTAGTAGATAAGACTTGGGGCCCAGAGACAGTAAGTTAAAAAATACCTGTGAAATGCATGAGATAGACATTTTCTGCCATGGGGGCACAGATGCAGAGAGTTCTTTTGCAGAAAGAAGTATAAGCATAGCAAGACAGTGAGTTGAAAAGGAGCATTTAGAGATGGAGATAGAGATATATAAAAAGAGACCACATAAAATTGAGAAAGATTTCATCCTGACATTCCAGTTCCTTCTAGAGACTTTGTTTCATTACTTTCCATGTATTTGTTTAACTGATTCTTTAATTTTCTACCCTCTACCCTAAACTAGTATATGTTGGTATCTGTTATTCTGACAAAGAAAATAATCCTAATTTATACAGGGAGTGAAATTCTTCTAATGCAAAACTTACTATTGAGCTGTGGCCAATGCAGCTGTTAACAGCAGCATTAGCTTTCACATATCATGGCCACTACTTCATCAGTTTGTGGATTCTACACACCAGGGTGTACTCAAATTACTTAATAGTGTTTCTACCTTGATGCAAATAACCCTTTATGGCATCCCAGAATCTCAGCAAAAGGGGTTACTTCTCAGGTCAGCTATTTTAATCCAATCAGAATTCTTTCCTTTGATTTCCCTGCCAGTTTTTGCTTAAAATTTTCCATGGCTGGGAAGTAAAGCATAAGAGAGTGAGCATGGACTTAGATTAATCCAGCTCTTTGTTCAAAACCTGCTCTGCAACGTTCCAGTCTTAAAATCCTAATTACTTAGCCTCTATGACTCTTTCTTTCCTCACTTGCAAATGGAGATTAAAATGTTCTACTTTATGGATTTTTTAATGGAGATTTTATGGAACAAAGTATGCAAAATGCCTGCTCTAGTGCCTACTCTATAGTAGATACTTAATAAATATTATTCATTCCCAGCTTTTTAAGCAATGCATCAGTCATTCTCCTTTATGCTGAAACAGTGGCTCCTAACTGTGTAGTTTGCAGTATCCCTATGTAGGATTAACAGGCAGTCATGGTGACTGAGTCTAAAAGCCTGAAATCAAATCCTAGACCTACTGCTTTCTTGTAGAACCTGTGATAAGAGAATCTGTGAAAACTTCCCCAGATTCCTTTAAAATGAGGAGGTGGACTAGTGCACACTTGAGATCCCTTTACAATGTGAAATACTGTGACTCTAGTATTTGTCCTTTAGGTTATGATTTTATTTATATTAAATAAATTATCATACTTCCCACTCTAAAGTGCTATTGGATGGTAAACAATAAGTACTTTTCTGCGGTATATTTCCTGTGGCAAGAAAAAAAATATTAGTGACTTCAGAATAAATCATTTTGAACTTTGGAAAGATCTAATTGTCAAGTATCTCTATAGAGTCGACAAAATTTTCCTCAATCCAAGTAATTAGCCCTACTTCTTCCTTTTCCTTGGTCAGTAGCTCTGGTCCCAGAATAAGATCAGGTGTGCACTAACTTGTCTTTGTCCCTTCCTAATTTCTTTTCTTCTTCTAATAATATGTGCTAGCTACTCAGCTGCTTTCCTTCATCTTAAGCCCCCATAGCTTGAAATTTTGTGAAGCCGTAAAGATGAACTCTACTGGAAAAAGATATTCTGGCTGACAGTGGAACATTGGAATACATGATTGTTTTAGAAATGACTTTTTTCTAATAGTCCATTGATGATGTTTCAGTAAAGTGGAGGTTTGAATAAATGTTTTCTTGGCTTAGCCTTCTCCTACGTGCCAAGCCTCACCCCATCCTTCCTCAGCTTGCTCTCAGTCCCTAGCTTTAATCAATTTATGCATTCATTGATTGATTGACTCCTTGAATATTTATTGAGTTGCTACTACATATAAAACCCTATGTTAATTTCTGACACATTTCAAAGATAAAAAATATTTGAACCTTGCCCTCAGGGAACTCACAGGCTAGTAGAAGAGATATGATAAACATATATATGCAATCAAAACCCAAGGAAGAAATAATTAATATCGTAGCTCAAAATTTTTCAAACCATAAATTGCAGCCCATTTGCAGGACATAAAATCAATTAGTAGGTCATGACCACATTAAAAAATTAAATGGAATAA
Organism: Homo sapiens; assembly: GCF_000001405.40. Lineage (NCBI taxonomy): Eukaryota > Metazoa > Chordata > Mammalia > Primates > Hominidae > Homo > Homo sapiens. The sequence continues at coordinate 155,725,590 of NC_000005.10, forward strand.
AAATATTTAAGTGAATCACAAATTAAGGATACATGTTGTTTTGTGAAAGTTTTATTTAAGTTACGTGTGTGTGTGTGTGTGTGTAGGACTATAGTGTAATATGAAGTGTTTTTACTATTCATCTGATGTGGTTTCGTTCTGTGTCCCCACCCAAATCTCATTTCGAATTCTAATCCCCATGTGTCAGAGGAGAGACCAGGTGGGAGGTGATTAGATTATGAGGCTGGTTCCCCATGCTCATGTTCTCATGAGAGTGAGTGAGTTCTCACTAGAGCTGATGGTTTTAAATTGTGGCACTTCCTTGTGCTCCCACACACTCCCTCCTGCTGCCTTGCGAAGAAGATGCCTACTTCTCCTTCACCTACTAAGTTTCCTGAGGCCTACTAGCCACGCTTCCTGTTAAGCCTGCAGAACTGTGAGTCAGTTAAACCTCTTTTCATTAAAATGACTCGGTTTCAGGCAGTATTCTTTACAGCAGTGTGAGAAGAGACTAATACAGCATCACACTAAAAAGTCTGAAGACACTGGCTTAGGAGAGACACATAAAGAAACCCCTCTCGGGCTTAATGTGCCTATGAATCAGCCAGGAATCTTGTTAGGATGAAGTTTCTAATTCAATTGCTGTGTGCTGGGGCCTGAGATTTTGTTTCTATCAAACTTCTAGATGCTGCTGTTGCAGCTGATCCACCCAAGGAGACAAAGTGCTAGATGGAGAGACTATTTCCAGGGGAACAACCTGAGAAATCCCTGAAGTCATTCGTTTGTGACTTCAAGTGCCTCCAAGGAATAAAAGAAAATACGTTTTTCCCTTCCTTTTCTCGTTTTTGCTTTTGGTTGATTGATAGAAATCCTAACTTACGCCATTCTTCACCAAGGGCGGTTGCTGTCCAGCTTCCAGGTGCTGAATGTTAAAACCAAGGGACCAGATCTGTTTCAGACCAGTTATTGTGAAAAGCTCCACCGTTTTATCTGAGGGTTGGCCCCCAGTTTCCCATCGTGTCTTAAACATCGGTGCCTTTCTCTACAATGTCCCCTGCAATTAACAGCAGACTCCTTCCTATAAAGTAGGCTTTTAAAAACAGAAGCAATAAGAGTTTTATTTATTTTACCTTCTACCTGTTACCACATTACATCAGGGCTTCACTTGCACCCAGATAGCTGCCTTGACTTCCTAATGGTTTTCTCTGCCTGCAGTTCCTTTTCTTTCTCCCTCTACCCCCATCTCTTCCCCTCTTAAGCAATCCTGTACAGGGATATACTGCTCGAGCTAAAATGAAGCTTCCATTATTTTACTGCTTAAAACACTTCAGTGACCCCCGCCCACCCATTGCCTAGGGAAGTTCTCTGCCCCTACCAAGCTTGTTTGCTGCTGTTCCAATGCGTCTTTCTTCATCCTTCATTTTGACCTCTCACATCCTCCTCTCACTTTTCCAGCTATTCGAATCCTGCCTACTCTTTAGGTTTTAGCTTAAATCCCACTTCTTTCATGAAGCCTTTTTTGGAAACTCCAGAGGAAATGAATCTCAATCTCTCTCTCTCTTTCTTTCTCTCTCTCTCTCTTTCTCCCTTTCCCCGCTTTTGCTGATGACTCGTCTCAGTAATGCTGAGCATAATTTGTGTACTGGCCTGTGGCAGAAAAAGCCCAGGACTGGCAGGAGGAGACCAGACTGGGGGCTGACCAAACTGGATGTGTGTGACAGCGGGCAAGCCACGTGTCTTCCCTGAGGCTCAATTTCCCCACTAAGATGAGAAGATTGGAGACAATGATGTCTAAGTAATCGCACATGGTGTCCAGTATTATGTGTGTTTTGCTAACTTTGTCTCTTTAAAGTTCTCATTTTCTACTACTGTGAAATTTTCTTATTTTAATTATCCTTCTTGTTAGTATTGAGCTATTACCCATCTTTTAAATTGTCTTTTTAAAAATTCTCGTGTTTTTGTTTTTCTTACTCATATCATAAAAGAACCTCATTTTACGGCTAGGGCAATGAGGCCCAGGGAGAGCCTGCCTAAGGGCACGCAGAGCAAAGAATACAACATTACACCCAACTACGGAGGGCCCTGTGCTCCGGACGCTGCCCGGCGTCGCTCAGAGTGGGTGCTCACAAATTATTTGTCAATTGATTGGAGGTTGCCAGGCCCATCTTGCAAGACACCTCCCTTCTCCCTGGAAGGAGAAACCCTTGGGAGTCTGTTGGTTAACGGGAAAAGTGCTTTCTCTGAGAGGAAGGCGGGGCAAGCCGGAACAAGCTCTCGCTGGGAATCCGCACACTCCTTCTCCCGGTGTTTCTTAACCCCTTTCTTCTCCCGGGAGTGGAGAGGGGGCTCAAGGATACTAGAAACCTGTCCCCTTGGCGGAGACACGTAGTCGCCTCTGGCCGCCGCGGCCGACTGATCTTGCGGAGTGGAGCTCCCCCCACCCCGCCCGCGTTTCGCTGGGGCTCCCTCCGCTCTGCAAAGGGAGCGGGGAGCTGGGGGAGCCTTGCACACCAGTCTTCCTGGAGCTGCAGACGAGGAGCCCCGCGCCTTCGGGAGCCTCTCGGCGGCTTCCCCTCTAACGCGCGACTGTGCAGCCTCTCCCCGCCGCCCCCACCCGCGGCTCGCCCTCGCTCCCTCCCTCCAGCCCCGCCAGCCGGAGCGCGCACACCGGGACTCCGGCACGTGGGCGCGCGGGAGGTGGCGGCCGCTGCTGCCGCTGCTGCCGCTGCCGGAGCCCGAACCCAAGCCCCAGCTGGAGCCGGAGTCGGAGCCGGCGAGATCGCCCTCCATGCTGCGGGAGCTGCGGCCGCCTTCCGCTCAGCCTCTGGTCCCAGGCGAGCCTGGCGAGCCGGCGAAGCACCGGCGGGGAGGAGGACTAGAACAGGAGGAGGGGCACGGCGGATTGAAGCGAGCTGGGCTGTGAGCAAGGGACACCCACAGCCTGGAGAAACAGCCCCGCTCTCTTGCGCGCTGTCTGCTCCAGCCGCTACTGGGGGCTCTAAGCAGCGCGATGCTGCTTCGCTTCTTCTAGGCGGCGGCCGGCGGAGGCTTTCCGCAGCCGCTTGGCCGGCGCCGGCCCCTATTCCGTTGGCAAGTCCCTTGTCTATCCCGGAGGGCGCACCCGGACGCTCGAGCCGGAGCGAGCGCGAAGTCCGAAGTCCGCCCCCAGAGCCGCCAACTTCCCTGTGAGCCCCTCTCCCCGCCGCAGCCTGCGCCAGACCTGGGAGCGATGCGCCCCCACCCGGGCGGCGCGCCCTCTGCCAACTCGCCACCCATGGGATCGACTGCCCTCAGCTGCCCGGCTTGGAGTGCGTAGCCTTCGCCGCGTGGCCCAGGAGAGGAGCGAGACACCAAGGCGTTTCGCGGACTCCGCGCGCACCAGTCGGCTTGGTGGCCCTGCGGGATAGCGTTTATACCCAGGGGTGAGTAGGCCGCTAATGGAGGCCCCCTTTACCCCCAGCTAGCGGCTTGCATGGACGGCAAAGAGACGGGAGAAAGTTGGGTCTCCTTGCGCTTAATCTGGCATTGGCAGAGGAATGCAACACTGTTTCCTCCAACTCGATTGCCGCGGGGGTTTCCCCAGTTCCCTCCATCTCTAAGCCAAGGAGGGAGTCCCCTTCCGCTTCCTAAGGAGAAAAGGGGCTCCCTAGAGCAGATCGCTGACTTCCTCACCAACGTGCCATTTGGGGCTTTTCAGCCGCCCGCGCGTTAAGCTAGCTCCCAGCATAAGCGCTTAGAGATCCGCAGCCGCCTGGGCGCGCTAAGAGATCGTGGGCAGACCTAGCCCTTAGGGCAGCCTAAGCGCGCTTCACTAAAGAAAAAAGACTGTTGGTATATTAAAGAAGTGTGTGTGTGAGAGAGAAAGAGACAGAGAAAGAGACAGAGAGACATGGGTGGGGGCACCAGGAAAGGTAGCCCGAGTAGGAGGTGCTAGTGAAATTTATCTTTTGCTGACGGATCCAGCCTCCGGAATGCCCGATTGTCTTGATCCGCGGTGCGGTGCGGGTTTTAGGGGCGCACAATACAGGGTGTCCAGACAGAGTCCAACAGGTGGCCTGCGCGGGCATCCTGTGGCTAGGCGCGGGGGAGGGGAACGGCTCCCTCCCCGAGCCCCGGGCTGCCTCTGCTGCTTCTAGGGGTGCATCTGAACATGGATAAGGAAATGCGCTCCCTGCTCTCAGGCCCTATTTGGGGTGAGTGTGTGAGGCATCCAAATGCCTCCTGTCGGAAAACAGCGGCCTCATTGTGTGCCCGATTGAGGTTTCAACTTGCAGGCAACTGAGAGGCCATTCAGCTGGGCAGCACGGAGTTGGCTGGTCCTCGGACTTGAGCCATGGCCTTCCCCACGATCCCTGGCGGCAGTATCCCAGCTCCTCCGGCTGGGCGGCGAGCCAAAACTCATAGTTTCGCTCCTCTGTACTCCACTGAAGGGAGGGGGAGTTGCCTAAACACCAGGCGTTTTTATCTTGAGATTCATACACAAGGGCAGGTATGGGCATACACGTGTTGTGTGCGAGTGAGCGTGGAGACAAGTCGAGTTTAAGAGCTGGATGGAAGAAATTAGAAAACTCTGCACCCTCCAGGGAGACAAATTAGGAGAGGGCGCGGTTGAGCTTTGAAAAAGTTTCACCTGAACTCACCTTTCTTCGGTGACTTCAGGTGTGCCAAGTGCAAAATATTCTAATCCCTTAAAGCTGTGGCCCCTCCAAAGCAGCATCTTCCAAAATTGCCCAGTAACTTCTTCATGAGTAACTTCTTCATTCCTCGGCTTACTCATTTGTAGGTTGGGGACAATTATCCGCATTCATGGGAGAAGCTCTGGAATGTCTATAAAGGAGGTATTTAGAGATGGATGTCCAGTTGGAAGGTAGAGCAGCTGTGTGTGTGTGTGTGTGTGTGTGTGTGTGGCGAGGGGAAATTGGGGGAAAGGGAGAGCTGTCTGGAACCTACATACATAGTAGGCACTCCGTTTTTACTTAGATTTTGTATTTTTAGGAGGTTGGTTGGCTTTGGCAAGAGTGATGGAGATTTGGGGAAGCTAATGCTTTCCCAGCACACACTTGGCGCTGCCACATCGCTGCCGACCTACTGTGGAGTGAGATGTTTGTATATTGGAAACAAAGTGATGGACACTCCAAAACACAAAAGAACCCTCTGCTGTTGACGCTTGCCCCAGTGGCTTTCCCTCCAGAGGAAGTTCTGGAGACCACAGCTGTTTAGCCTTGCTGCCTTAATACTCTGGAATTTTCCTGCATCCTTCCAGCCCCAATTTAGTTTCCCTCCTAAGGAGCGCCCTCCTCACCCAGGGCCTCTGGCAGCAGATCATCAAGGATATCTAAGTAGAGTGATTTCCCAGATGTGTAGCACACACTGGGTGATTTAGCATGGGGCGCATGCCTCTCCACAAACATGCTGGAGCCTTGACGTTTGAAAGGGAGCCAGGAGCTGGGGGCCAAGAGGAGAATGGGCAGGGAGATATTATGCATTACAGAAAGACAGTCAGACAGTAGTACAGAGTCAGAGTAAGAAGAAAAAGGAGAAAGACAGAGGGGCACGAGAGGGAGGGACAGAGGGGCAGAAAGAGATGGAGAGAGAGGCAGAGACACACAGAGATAGAAAGAGAGAGGGAGGGCAGAGAGAAGACAAGAAAGTTACAGGGTAGACAGGGCAAAGAATAAGAGGAGGCAAGAGTGGCAGAGAGAAAGGGATGGAAGGGAAAATAAATCTGAAGAAGAGTGTGAGAAAAGAGAACAAAAAGGGAAAGGAGTGGGAATGGGTGGGGAAGTCAGATGGGGAGGAGGGAAAGGGTGGGGAAAGAGAGGTGCCCTGAAGACACATTATTTTTGTAGTTAATTTTCGTAAACCATGCTGCCATTCTAAGGACGTTGACATAGTCCAGATCCTTAAGTAGCCAGCCCTTGGTTCATGTTTGTTTCTCTGGGGAGTCATGAATTATGCAGAAATTGGACACCCACTTGGAACCCATTGGAGATGACACAAGTGTAGGAAGTTTAGATTCTTGGTAAATGCACACATGCATAAATGCATTTGTAGTCATTGTTTTTGTTTGTTTGTAGTTTTCTGGGTAAATACATGTTGGAGAATTGAGGCAGAGTGTTGGCTCACTGACAATATTTGCCAATGATTCTCTAACCTTGTTTTTAGAAAAATCTCTTCAGTAGCTTCCGAGAAATACAGACTACTGGACCCACTCCCCTGGGAGCCTGTTCCAATAGGGACCGGAATGTGCTACTTTGAGTGCCCCAGTTGGTTCTAAAGCAGGTGGTCCCTGAACCAGGCTTTGATACACGTGGTGTAGATGGTATAGCACCCTTCTCTAATTTGTTTCTGGATTTCTTCGTAAGAGATACTCTTTAACACCTCTCTCTCTTATGCTATTCTCTCCAGAAAAGCTTATTTCTTGTGAATTTCTCTTGATAAAAGGAGAAGCCCAAGGAAGTTGCTCAGCCAGGGTTACCTTCATCAGCCTCATTAATCACAGTAGTTCCAGGGGAAGGCAGATGGCTCCTCTGGTTGACCTTGTCAGGGGCTTTCACAACTAACAGGTACTGAGGACTCCTCAGGGCATTGCCTTCAGCATTCTTCATGTACTATCTGCCCATTTAAAACTCACAGAAAGCTATGCCACAGGCACTGTTATTATCATCTGCATTTTAGCTGAGGAAACTGAGACTTTGAGAAATTATATAATGTGTCTCAGAGAAATTACTTTAGTTGTCAGCAGTCTAACTACTAGAAAGTACAGTGCTAAAATTTGAGTCCAGGCGTGGTTGACTTCAAGATCTCTGGTCCTAATTATGTACCGTGGTAGCTGCTAATCCTAACACCCCATTCTAGGCTGATGGAGCCAAAAGTCCTTGGAGATCTTTCCCAAGCTTTCTCCCTCCCCACTCTACCATTTGAGAAAAACAAAAGTAGCTGAAGAAACTGGGAAGTGTCTTGCCAGAGATCCTATAACCAGTAGGTGCCAGAACTTGGACCAGCACCCAGTCTGGAGTCTCAGTCCAGCCTTCTTCTCACCACACCAGTAGTTGTCATGTGTGGCTAATCATCAAGGTCACTTACATCTTAGTCAAAACACAAGTTGCTGGACTCCCCTAAAGGCTTACTGAATCAAAACCTTGGGGCAGAGAGGCCAGAGATCTATATTTTTAGCCCATGCCCCAAGCCTACATCTATTTATACACTACCATTTTCCCCAGTTGTTCCCTCACTCCCGGATTCCAACACTGGATCCCTTCCAGACAGCTTCAAGAGGAGAACTCTGAGTCCCTCCTGCTTCCAGCCAAATAGAAATACAAAAAGTAGTAAACTCCATGCGTGTTGCAGCCCACTGATATGCAAGGAAACAAGCAGGTCCACCTGGAGGCAACTTTGCAAGCTCTTTGAGAAGTATAGCAATCACAGTGATGTTTGTTATACTCGTTTTTTTTTTTTTTTTTTTCCCAGTGCCAAGTCGGAAAGCACTTATGGAAACATCAAATGCTCCTTCGGTGCATGAGTGTCGGCATTTGTACTAATACTTGACACAAAATGATGCCATGAGCCAGGGCCAATGTGTCACTATGTCAAAAGTGTCAAGTTCAGTGTCCCAATTTAGTGGATGTAGCTGTGGTGTAAGAAACACCCCTTTCCTCCCCTTCATTATTAAGCTTTTGACTCCCTCAGAATAGATCAGTGCCTCATTCTGCAAGTAAAAAGGAGCTATCACACACACTCTGTCTCTTTCTGGCCCACTTAAATTGTTTTCTCAGTGACCTCAACATCTTTTCCCTTCTATTTCATTGAAAAGTGGCCAAAGGTACCAGACATCTTGTCCAGCAAACTGTTTTGTCATCTTTCCCTTTTCAGATCCAAATTTATCTTTTTGAATATTTTGCTTTTAACCCTGACCTCTTATTCAAGGGTGGTAATTGAGCCTTAGGTAGCTTTGATAAGCAACTCTCTGATACATGTATTTTAAATAACCACAGTCATTTATGGATAGAACACAAACCAAGGAATACCTTATATTTTTAAAGGGCTTCATTAATATGCTGGACACTTTTTTTTTTTTGCCATTTCAGTGGTCAGAACCTACTTTCCTGGGATGACTGGCAGTGGAGAAGTAAAAGTTGAAAGGAAACACTTAATGGTTAAGTTGGGCCCCGAGTGCAGACAACTAGGGGTCAAGGCCTACCCTCACCTGCCTTGCTTTTATAACTTTGGTCTGGTGATTTGACTTCATCAAGTCTCCATTTCTTCATGTACAAGTTGAAGACAGTAATAGGTTGTCTTATGTTGCAAGGATTTACCTTGATGAATGATTGAAGTGCTTAGCATGGTGTCCTGCGCACCTGTCAGCTAGCATTTTTACTGCTTTTTGTTAAATATTTGCTATGTGCCAGGTTCCATTTAACCCAGGAGCTGATGTTGGGAAGGTTAAGCAATTTGGCCAGTTCACACAGATTCTCTCTTTATTTTATTTTATTTTTATTTATTATATTATTATTATATAATATAATAATATTATTAATTATATTAATTAATATTGTTACTGATATTAATTATATTAATTAATAATGTTACTGTTATTATATTAATTAATAATATTACTGTTATTAATTATATTAATATAAATTAATATTATTATATGAGACAGGGTCTGGCTCTGTTGCCCAGGCTGGAGTTCAGTGGTACCATCTTGGCTCACTGCAACATCCACCTCCTGGGTCAAACCATCCTCCCACTGCAGCCTTCCGAGTATCTGGGATTACAGACATGCACCACCACGACTAGCTAGCTAATTTTTGCATTTTTTTTGTAGAGATGGAGGTTTTGCCATGTTACCCAGGCTAGTCTCAAACTCCTGAGCTCAAGCAATCCTCCATCCTTGGCCTCGCAAAGTTTTGGGATTACAGGTGTGAGCCACTACTTGGCCCACACAGATTCTAAGTAGCAGACTGACAGAATCCAGATCTCTCCTTTTTAAACTCCCCATACCCTTACTATTGCATTGCTGTGAGTCACTGGTCCTTATACTTTAAGACACTGTTGTATATGAAACACATTCTGGTTTGTATTTTTAAAAACCCATTGCTGAGAATGTTGAAGAGAAGAGTGGGAATCTTTTGAACTTTGGGGGATAATTTTTAGGTGGTGAAATCGCCTCCAAATATTTGCTTTTACTTTTCTAGCAATTAGGATGTTTCATAGATCCATCCCCTGCTGCAATTGCTTGGCTGACTCCCATCTGTTTATAAGGTCTCAGCATAGATATTGCTTCTTTGGGAAAAATCTCCCTTGAGTCCTCAAAGACTGTGTTAGATGTCTTTATAATGTGTTCCTCCATTTAAACTGGAGTATACTTGTCTGTTTACTTCTCTGTATCTGCCATTCAGTCTATATATAAGCTTCTTGAGATCAAGGGACTGGTTTTATTGGAAGTTGGATCTACAGCACCCAGGTCAGTGCCTGACATATAGAAACCTCACAAAAACATTTTTGGATGACTAATTGAAACTTTGAGCTAATTCTATGTGGTTCAGAAAAAGTGGCCATTGTCCTTAAATGCTAAAAGAAAAATCATCCAAACATAGGAGTTGAAAGCCATGAGGTCTAATGCGTCCCTAGAGGCTCCAGTTCTTCACATAGGCATGTAATGGTATCAGTAGTTGTTGATTAACTATGTTGGTAGCTTTGGGCAAGTTTCTTTGTGATGTTGCTTAAGATGTAATTAGAAGGGACATTCTGATTTATAAGTTAATGTGATTTTATCTGTACATCTAATTAGTTGCTCAGAAAGACACGTTTGATTCTCAGCCCAAAAGTTTGAAAAACTAATAGGCTTTCAGGAGTGAGAACCAAGGTTAGAGATAATCTAGTCCAATCAGTTTGAAGAAGAGATGAGGAAACTGAGGCTCAGAGGGGGAAAGGGACTTGCCTGAGGTCATCCAGCAAGTTAGTGCCACAGCCAGTGTGAATGCCAGTGGTTTCTGGCTGCTGGCCCAGGACTCTTAATGCCTGCTGAGAGTGATTAACACATGCTTGGTGAGCTACTTGTTTGCTTTGAAGGCAGGCTTGCAAGCATAGGTAGATACACAGCCTGCAACAGCACAATTCCCAGATGAAGCTCTTGCTGAAAACGAGAGAAGCAGACCTGAAATTATTTACTGATCGGGCAAACTCCTATAGTCAAGGGTGTTTGTTGGAGAGCATCTTGGCAGGTCCTAGCCCATAAGGTTTTATGGGCTTTTTGGATTCACAGTCTAGTTTTCAAACAAGAAAATGTGTCTGGAGTAGGATCCTCCTTTGATGTTCTTGTATGTGATATTTCAAGAATTAGAGATGTATGGATGTTCATTGCCAATCCCCTGGCACAGGGTCATTGGCAAAGTCATGATCAGATGATGCTCCTCTTTCTTCTTAACCCTTTTTTAGATGGGAAGCAGTCACCTTGGGATCCTTCTTTCTACCCCTGGGATGCTTTGGAGTATGACCAAATGGATCAGCCTAACTACATCCTCAGACACAGAAACATGTGCAGTGTACTTTGACATTGTTAACACACAGATCTTTATCACATGGTGTCAATATTATGGAGACAGTAAGACACAGATCATCGGTGTAATATATCGCACATGCTCCTTTGAAAACATTATAATCAGAGCTGACAAGGCAGAAGAAATATCTCAACCTCGCATCTTCCCTGCATCCCAAAAAGCTTACCAAACTAACCCAAACTAACAAGACTCTGATTATTCAAGGAAAGAAGGCCCAGATTATGATTCACTTTGCCCTTCTACCATAATCAGGCTGAGATTATTGGTGTTATTTTCTGATTTGGTATCTAAGGGTCAAGTGCAAGGCAGAGGTACCTCTCTTTATTCCCCTAACACCATAACAAATTGCTCCCTTTCCTATCTCATAGGTTTCTTAAAATTCCTCCATTGCATGCTAATTCTTTAGGCCTTCAAATAATTTAATGTTTTCTATGGTCCTTTATTGAAATGCAAAATTTCCTGAGTAGGATATTGTTAATAACTAGACCTAATATCTCACCCTATCTTCTCACCTTTTAATGGGCATTGAGGATAAATATTACTGTCACTGCTACCACCACCACCACTACCACCTCCTCCTCCTACTTTTGCTACTGTTACTATTGCCATTTATTGAGTATCCACTATGTGCCAACATGGTTCTAAGTTATGTACATGTATTTTTCTCATCTCATATTTCCAGTAACTTGATGTTGTGGTTATGGGTAGAGGAATTAATAAATCACCACAGAGATGACAAAAATAACGACGGGATTAACCAGAATAGAGAAAAGGTGATAGTCGGATCAGGAAAATACTGGAAAGCAATGTAGAAGGGCAGGAGGAAAAGTGAGTGCTCTTTCCTTTTCCCTATTCCCAAACATTCACGTCTCTAAGTGGGATCTTTAGAGAACGCACAGCAAGCTGAGGGTTGGGCAAGTTAACTTGCACCTGATCCTCACTGCTCTAAATGGCAGGACAGGGCTTTGAATCCAGACTTCCTTATTTTCAAACTTTACTAGGTAATATTGTCTCCAATTTACTTATAAAACAATGAGCTTGAAAAGAGCTTGGAGAATATCTTCTTCTATGGCTTGCAAACGACTATGAGGTACGTTAAGATAAATACATTAAGGTATTTTATGTCATCAGTATATACCCCACATGCAACTGACACAAAAGTTTCAAAAAATATAACACTTACCCTTACTATGGGTAATTTAATGATATCCTCTATTCTGCTTTATCCTATTATTTACTTGCACATTTACATGTGGAGACACAATATATTCACCCATATCATTGAAATAAAAGTTTTGAAAAATCATACTCTTACTATAGACAGTATAGTCTGATACTTTCCATTCTATTCCCATTCATTAAAAAGAAATCATGCTATGGCACTCAGAATTGATTTCATGACACTCATGGGTTGGAAAGCACATTGTGAAAAACACTTACCTAGTCTGACACTACAGATTTTTATAGATGGAGAAAGTAAGGATTGGGAGGCAGAGCTGTTTTTCCTAGTTCAAGATCCCATGACAGGCTAGTGGCAGAGCCAGTGTAGAACTCAGGCTCATGACACCCACTCATGCCTGCGAGTGAGAGCACCCTTGACCGTGGCCTCTGGGTCATGACTGAGCTTCAGTCTGTCAGCAGATTGTTGTCATTGATCACTCATAGTATATTCCCTTTGACTTTGACCTCCATTCCCCCCATGTAGCATTTTTTAGTGAGATTTAAGTGATAGGTTAATTTGCCATATATGGGTTTGGCGGTGGGAACCTGTGGTGTAATGGGACAGTGGGGGAGCTGGGATGGTGTTGAGGGCCCTCTGGCTTTTCTGTGAGCCTTGCAGACTCTTTTGATTGAATAATTAGGGAATAGATCCTGGACGAGGGAAGAAGCATTGATGCCAACTTGAGTGCCCTTAATCCCTCTATATGTCTCTCTCTGGACCACTTCTCCTTCCTCAACCCAGAGGGCATTACTCACATGTTTAAAGGCATTAACATAAGGACTGAATGTAGAGCCCAGTTTGCCATACCCAATGTATGAACAACCCTTTCTGGAAACTCGGATGACTACTTGAACTGGGGGCAGAATTTTTTGAGATGGTGATTTTTAATTTATTTAACACTACTTGTGCATGTTAAAAAGCCTAACAATACAAAATGGTAAAAAGTAAATGTGCCCTCATCCCTGATCCCAAGTCCTTAATTCCCCTTTTCCTGGTACAACTATGTTTCCGGTGTCTTCTGCATCCTCCCAAAGATATAGGTGGACAAAAAGCATGTTTTTCCTCTTTTACACAAGTGACAGCACATAATGTACCTTGTTTGTTTATGTAAATGATACATCTTGGGGACTGTTCATGTATGCTTCCATTGAGCTGCCTCATTATTTTTCTGAGCTGCATAATGTACCATTATATAAATGTACTGAGATTTATTTGGCTGTGATAAAGTGTAATGATTAAGAAGCTAGATTCTGGAGCTGGCCTGCCTCTGAGAGAGAGAGTCTGTGAGAGTGTGTGTGTGTGAGAGAGTGTGTGTGTGTAGGAGAGTGTGTGTGTGAGAGTGTATATGAGAGTGTGTGAGTGTGAGAGAGTGTGTGTGAGAGAGTGTGTGCATGTGAGTGTAAGAGAGTGTGAGAGTGTGAGAGAATGTGTGTGAGTGTGCATGTAGTGTGTGTAAGAGAGTGTGTGAGAGTGTGTGTGAGACTGTGAGAGAGTATGTATATGAGAGTGTGTGAGTGCGTGTGAGAGAGAGTGTGTGTGAGTGTGTGAGAGAGTATGTGAGAGTGTGTTTGCGTGTGAGAGAGTGTGTGTGAGAGAGAAAGAGAGAGAGAAAGAGAGAAAAAATATTAGGAAACATGGGGCCAGGGAAGGCTTCACTAAATTAAAAGCCAAATTGTACCTCATTTATGCATGTTTTCAAGAATTCAGTTTTTAAGATTGTATGAACTTTTTTTCACACCACAAAATCACCAACAATTATTTGTTGAGATTATTTTAACTTTGGGATGCTGGAAAGAGAGGAGACAAGTAAAGATAATGGTCCCTGCCCTTGAAGAATATGGAGACAGCACTTATTTACCCAGAACAGGTTGAGAATGATAAATAATTGTGTGTAATTGCGACCAAAGCTGGATGTTGTCCAGCAAGTATCTGCTAAAAGATCTTTCCATGCAGCAGGAAAAGCAAGTACAAAGGCTGTGATGTGGGACTGTGAGTTTCACAGTTGAGAACCAGCGTGGAAGCCAGTGGGGCTGAAAGCAGAGGAATACAGTGGGTGAGTAGGTGGTAGGGGAGGGCTGTTGATTCCTAAGAGAGCTGCTTTAAGGGTAATGTATAACCATGTAATAAAAATGAAATATTCCATCTAACCTGCCTCAGCTAGGGTTCTGTAGAAGGCTTAAAGAAAGCTCTATGGCTGTTGTTAAATTATAAGAAAATACACTTTCCATTACAGAATTTAGGATATTTTAGAGAAACTCTGTTGCCTATAATCCTGGTGAGTTTGAAAAAAGTGTAAATATACCCAGTAAACATTTATTCAGTCAAGGAACATACACTTGAATAAAGAAGTGAATGCTTTAGTTTGGCTAGTGTAAAAATGATGGAAGAGACTGAGGCAGCTCTATCCTGACCAGTGGGCAGAAAACTCAGTGAAATTTGTTAAAGGAGCAAGTTTTAAAACTTGCTGGGAATTTCCATATCATCTCAAGTAGGAAGGAGATTTGAGTTTATATTTAAACTTATAGATTTTTATCATTTTAATACCATTTATTTTGATGGAAGTAGAATAATTGAAATTATAGCATGGGGAATTACTACTAGACAATTCTGCCTCCCTGCCCTACCTTAAAGAAGCTTCTGCTGTGATTTCCCCATTATTAACCTCCACTAGCTCAAACAGAAATAAAAGGAAACTGCATCCAAATGTTTGAAATGCATTCATATATTTTTATTGAATGACATATGTTTTTATTTGTTTATTTTAGAGACAGGGCCTTGCTCTGTCACTCAGGGTGGAGTGCACTGGCACAATCATGGCTCACTGCAACCTCGACCTCCTGAGCTTAAGTGATCCTCCTGCCTCAGCCTCCTGAGTAGCTGGGACTACAGACAGAAGCCAGCATGCCCTGCCTATTTTTAGGAACAAAAGTATCTCTCAACTCTTAGCAAGATTTTTATTTTTATACATTATAGTGAAAAGTGTTGTAGAAACATATCTAGGACCACTTGATGTTGAGAAAATATTTATATTGAATGTTTTCCTTGCATTTATTTCTGTTAGGAAAAAAATAGCAATGAAAAGCATTATTAGTCTGGGTGGTTCTTTTTCAGATGCAAAAATCACTCAAACTGAAATCCTTTTTATACTCAAATTGGGCCTGCCAGCTTTAAAAGAGGGCAGTCAGGATAATATGATAAACTGGCCCATGCGCTCAATCTTAGCTCATCAAGGCTGTGCCAGAACTGACATTTTCGTACAGTATGGCTTGATGCTCTGATTACAAATTGGTCTTGAGCAGCTATACTCTTTGTAATTTTATTCACTGAGGGATTGTGTTTGTATCATTAGGTCTGTTTTGGTTTTGAAACCTGAAGTAAAAAATACATCACTGGTTGCTGTCTCTTGTTTTGGAGTGTGATAGAGAAAAATATTCATCCAGAAACAAGTGTAATTTATTATATGCAAAATTAAGAGTTTTGTTTTCCTTCAAGGTGTCAACAAAAGAGTCAAATCTGTGAAATATTTCAAGACATTTATTCTGAGCCAAATGTGAGGACCACGACTCATGACACAGCCCCAGAAGGTCCTGAGAACATGTGCCCAAAGTGGTTGGGTTATAGCTTGGTTTGTATATATTTTAGTGGGACAGAAGTCACAGGCAGAGGCATAAATCAATACATGTAAGGTATACATTGGTTTGACATGGAAAGGTGGGACATCTTGAAGTGGAGGCTGGGTTTAAAGGTGGGTTTAAAGATTTCCTGATTGGCAATTGGTTGAAAGGGTTCATCTCTGCCTGAAGAGTTGAAGTCAGCAGAAAGAAATGTTTATAGTTAAGGGGGGTTGTGGAAGACAAGGTTCTTATTATTTAGATGAAGTCTCCAGGTAGCAAGCTTCAGAGAAAATAAATGGTAAATGTCTTTCATCAGACCCTAAAAGGTGCCACAGTCTTAGTTAAATCTCTCCTGGATCAGGAAAAGACCTGGAAAAAGAAGGGAATTCTCTATAGAATGTGGATTTTTCCCTGTAAGAGAGAGTTTTGCGGGGCCATTTCCAAATATTTCAAAGAAATATGTTTTGGGGTAAAGCACTTCTTTTTCTTTCAGGGCCTACTATCTGTCATGTGATGCTATACTAAAGTCAGGTTGGAATTTGGTATCTTATTTCTAGAAAGAATCTATTTGGTTACTCTTAAGGTCTCTGTTTTAATGGTAATGCTGGTCAGTTGTGCCTGAATTCCAAAGGGAGAAGGTTATCATGAAGCATGTCTGACCCCCACACCACTTTCCCATCATGGCCTGAAGTAGGTTTCTTTTTGTTTTTCTTTTCTTTTCTTTTTTTTTTTTTTTTTTAATTAGGGACTAAGTCTTGCTCTGTCACCCAGGCTGGAGTGCAGTGGTGTGATCTCAGCTCATTGCAACCTCTGCCTCCTGGGTACAAGCAATTCTCATGCCTCAGCCTCCCAAGTAGCTGGGACTACAGATGTGTGCCACAACACCCAGCTAATTTTTGGTAGAGACAGGGTTTTGCCATGTTGCCCAGGCTGGTGTCGAACTCCTAGGCTCAGAAAATCCACCTGCCTTGGCCTCCCAAAGTGCTGGAATTACAGGCGTGAGCCACTGTGCCTGGCCACCAGAAGTAGTTTTTCGGGTTTACTTTGGAATGCCCTTGGCTGAGAAGAGGGCTCCATTCAGTTGGTTAGGGGGCTTAGAAGTTTATTTTTGGTATACAAAGTCAGTGATGATAACATTTTCCCTCCCATTTCACTTGGGAAGTTTTACAGAAAAGGCTTAAATTAGGGTTTTAAGAAGGGTGTTAGGTGTTTATAATTCTCATTGTTGATTTTACTTATGATAAATAGATACATTATTTTGGAAAAAGAGAAGGTCTATAGTTACTCCTCACCTTTATTGCTTGTTGTCAAAAATTCTATTTTTAATTCAATTGTATGCACTTTTTTCCACACAATGAAATTACCAATAATCATTTTTGATCAAGGACCTTTTGTCCTTGGGTTCCTGGGAGAATAAAAGACATGTAAAGACAATGCTTTCTGTCCTTGGGGAATGCAGAAGCAGTAAATACTTACCCAGGGCAGACTGAGATTGATAAACTATTAAATGTGATTAAGACTTATACTGGATGATAGAGACAATGAACCCATGAGGATTCAGAGAAGGAAGTGAGTATCAATGTTTGAGGTAGGAAAAAAGCAAATGTTTTTCCTTCCACGTTCAGACGTTACAAGCCTCAACGTAGATTACCTTCAGTCACCAAAATGTTTGTGGTTCCCCCCACCCACCTCATACCAAGCAAGCCATTCTCCAGCAGATACCAGATGGGTGTCCTATAATTCAGTTCTCACTATTTACCTGGAGGTAGTGTCAGATCCCACAAGTTAAGGGCTCAGTCCCACAGGACTGCTGCTACTTCAGATGCCAATCACAAGCTTCAGGTTGTGACTTGTGCTTCTGACCAACCAGCTATAGATTGGGTTTCTATTACCCTCTCCTCTGATTTCATTAATTTGCTAAAGAGGCTCACAGAACTTAGGGAAACATTTGTTTGCTGGTTTGTTATAAAGGATATTACAAAGGATACAGATGAGCAGCCAGATGTAAGAGATACATAGTGTAAGGTTTGGTTGGGGGCACGGAGCTTCCTTGCCCTCTCTAGGTGTACCATCCTCCAGGAATCTTCATGTGTTCAATCCTGAAGCCCTCTGAACCTAGTCCTTTTGGAATTTTATGGAAGCTTTTTTAGGTAGTCATGATTGTTTACATCATTGTTCATTGATGATCAACTCAGCCTCTCTCATCTCCTTTCCATGTGATTATAAAGGCTCAACCCTACAATCACATAGTTGAGACCTCTGGCAACCAGCCCCCATGCTGAGGCTATCCAGGAGCACAACAAAGTCTCATTAGAACAAAAGATGCTCCTATCACCGGGAAGTTACAAAAGTCTTAGGAGCTCTGTGTCAGGAACTAAGTTCAAAGACCAATATTACAACAAAAGATTCTTCTAGCTCCTCAGTCTACAAGAATTTTAGGATCACTGTCTCAGAAAACAGGTCAGAGACCAAATATATATTTCCCATTATGTCACAATAACACAAACTAAGAGCAATGTATTTGGGTGAAATGTATAACATGTCATCAGAGAACAGTGAAAAGTTTTATGACCCTGATTGCATCACCTGAAATCTTACAACAATAAATTAAAAACAAATATTCTATATTTTCACTTGACAGACTACCTCAATGGTCCTGTATGCTACAAAACACCTAAACTATAGTTAAACCTGGGTTTCAATGCACTGCTAGGCCTGGAGCAAGTAAAGAAAATCTCCATCCCTCTATGTGTGCAAACACCACCTTAAAATAAAACAAACCTTGAACTGAAGCCAAAGTGGGAAGTGCCGAGCAAGGAGCAGATGAGGAAAACCAAAATTGTTCTAACTGCAAATACCCATATATTGCTGCGTCTAAGAATCAGCCTTGAGCAAGCTAGCTGTGAGCCAGAAAGTAAGAAATCTGAACCCAAGATTCCTGCAAGAACTCAGGACCTAGAAGAGGACCAAGTGTCCCTTGGTTGGTAGCTTTCTTTGGCTTCCAACAAAAGCAATAGTAAATCTTCTTTGGAGGAAAGCATTTCCTGTTTAGGCCTACAGGAATCCCACAATTAAAGATGACAAAAATACACATGAAAACCAGCCAATATAAATCAGATATCAGAAAGAAAACAGACTTCAACTTCTAAGATTTTCAGGTATTAGAGTTATCAGAGAATATGAAATTACTGTGTATGAACATTTGAAGGAGCGGGCCAGGTGTGGTGACTCACGCCTGTAATCCCAGCACTTTGGGAGGCCGAGGTGGGCAGATCACGAGGTCAGGAGCTTGAGACCATCCTGGCTAACACGGTGAAACCTCATCTCTACTAAAAATACAAAAATTAATCAGGTGTGGTAGCGCATGCCTGTAATCCCAGCTACTCAGGAGGCTGAGGCAGGAGAATCGCTTGAACCTGGGAGGTGGAGGTTGCAGTGGGCTGAGATCATGCCACTGCACTCCAGCCTGGGCGACAGAGCAAGACTCCAACTCAAATAAAATAAAATAAAATAAAATAAATGAACATTTGAAGGAGTAAAAAGCAATTATTTAAAATATGACCATACAATAAAAGACCATAATAAATGATTAGGAAGATTTTACAAAGAACTTGTTAGAACTTTTTGAAAGACAGTATTGGTAGAATAAACCCTGAACTGGTTAGGAAAAACAGCATTGTAGACACAGCTGAAGTTGGAGGAAGATAAACAGGAAGACATTACCCCAGAATTCAGCACAAAGAGAGAAGGAAATGGACAATATGGGAGAGAAGTGGAGAGACAGAAAGGATAAACTGAAAAGTTTGTTCGATGTTTAATCAGAATCCCAGAAAAAGAGCAAATAAAAGAGGTACAACATTTGATGAGATAATGGCTATTTTCTAAAACCGATGAATGATGTTAATTTGCAAATATAGGAAGTTCAAATAAGATGAATAAAATGTGAATCCACATATAGACAAATTGTAGTGAAATTGTAGATACAAACCACAAAGAGGAGGTCTTAGAAGCATTCAGAGAGCAAAGACAGATCCACCTGCAAAGGAACCATGAGTAATACTGACAGCAGGCTGTTCAATGGCAGCAGTGGAGGAAAGTAGATCTGGAATAATGTCTTCAAAGCCCTGAGACAAAATAACTGGCATGCTGAAATTGTTTTCCTTTTAATAATAGGAAAAAAATAAACACATTTCCACAGAAAGAAATCTTTACTAAGGAAACTTGTAGAGACTGCACTTACAAAAGAAAATAATCCCAGAAGGCTGATATAGAAGGAATGGTTGGTAAAATAAACTGGTAAAAATGTGAGTGAGTTTAAACATTGTCCATATAATATGATATTATGATAATGTTCTAACTTGTGTAATATTTTGGAGTAAAACAAAATATTGGATAATAAAAGCAGGTAGCTAATCAAATGCAGAATCCTAATCTCCTAAGATACTCTATAATCTGGCCATTTGTCTTCTGTCTTCCTCTCTCTCCCTTTCTATTTCTCTCTTTTTTTCCTCATCAATCTTATTAAAGGATTGTTAATTTTATTACATACTTCAAAGAAAACCATTGCCTTTACCAATCTTTTATTTAATATTTTTTTCTTCAAAAGACATGTAAAGTAAGAGAGAAGTTACAAACTGAAAAGTTTTTTTTTTTGACAACACAGGATTAAGAAGTTGTGAGTAGAATATATAAAAAGCTACTACAAAACATTAAGAAAAGATAAACAACCTCTTGGAAAATGGGCAAAGTTTACTAAGAAAAGGAAAAACATGAACAGTTGTACAACCTTATTAGTACTTGGGGAAATGCAAAATGAGACATCAATTAGATATCTTTTATACTCACTGGATTAGAAGAAATTAAGAAGTCTGAAAGTACAAAGTGTTGGAATGAACTGCAATACATTGCTTTGGGGAATGTAAATTCTCCAACATTTAGGAGTATACTTTGGCATTTTCTTGTGAAATAAAACATTGGCCTACTCTGTGACTCAGAAAATCCTCTCCTGTGTGTACACACTGCAGATATTCTTGCACATGTGCTGCAGTTGACACATACCGAAATATTTATAAAAACATTGTTTATAATAGCAAGAAAATGGAAATAACCAAAATAAAATGTCCATCATTAGGAGAGTGAATCAGCAAGTTGTAGAATATTCAATGGATTACAAAACAGAGAGAATGAATGGGATACAACTGCATACACTAACCTAAAGATGAACATTAGGATCAAAATATTGGATAATAATAAGTAAATTATGGTATTGTTACTGAGAAGTGTGAGTGTCCTCGGGTCTAGTCTTCTTGGAGTAAAGAATTCAGCCAAGAGACCAATTGTAAAGCAAGCAAAAGGTTTATTAAGGAAATAAGAGTACAGTCCAGCCACTGTACTCCAGCCTGGGTGACAGAGCAAGACCCTGTCTCAAAAAAAAAGAACACTCCAGGAGAGGAGTGGGCTGACAGTAGCAGCCAGGGTTATGTAGTAGTAGAGTTTATTTAAAGAGACAGTATACTCTGAAAGACAAGTCAGAGCAGGCTGCTCAAAAGAGAATTAGCCAATAGCCTTGAGAGTTCTGTGTTGTGGGTTTTTATGATGTCAGACTCTTTCTTCAAGTTCCTGTCTCTTGTCTTAAGTCTCTGCTTTTGTCTAGTTTCCAGCTTCTGTCTTAAGTCTCTGCCATCTGCCCACCTAGTTCCTGCCCCTGTTTGTAGGAATCTTCCTTCCTGCCCCTTGATGATGTGTATTTGTGGGCCCAGTGATCAATAGGAATCCTCCCTAATGGAGGGAATGCTCATTACTGCCACCCCAGGAAGGTCATATAGCAGTTAAATCTGTACTTACTGTGCCTGTGTATCTCTTAGGAATTTCCCCTTTGCCCTTCTTCCCGTTTTATCAGGATGTAGCTGGCCACATTCTGACAGGTTAACTGCAGAGTCAGCAATTACTGGGTGTCTTAAGGGTGTTTTGGGGCATTCTTTTCTGCACAGGCATTTTCCCTCCTTTCTGCTCATATCCAGCATGAATGTTTTGGGTGGTCTCTGGGGTGTGAGATTTTCCAGAGCTTCCTCCTCCAGGGGCTCTCCACCCTGCTCATGTCTGGCCACCTGCCTACTCTAACAGTATGATATTATTTATGTTATAATAACATTTTGAATTTTGATAAAAACAATACTACTTTTCTGGTTTATATATATAAGGTAACACAACATATTCTAAGATAAATTTAAAAGGAAAGAAATTTAAACAAAATGTAATGTAGGTTAATGGAGTGGGAGGCCTGGAGGACAGAATAGGAATAGAACACAGTAAGTGGGGTTCAGGGATGGCTTGACTTTCAGAAGCAGAGGGTTTTGGAATCTGGTTGCCCTTTAATTGTGGAAGTGAGGTTTCTGGAATTGATTGACTTTCAGAAGGAGTGTCACCGATTAGCTGGCTTTTAGAAACTTGTGTACTCATACAAAGCTGTCATTGATCAATTTGTATAGGTTTAAAACCAGTTTCTTGTGATGATAGCTGCAGAACTATCAGTCTTTTTGTTGGAGGATAGGGACCTTTTATTCTCACTTATGAAGTCAGTCTTATTATTTCCACTTTAAAGATGAGATGGTGAACTAACTTGCTCAAGAACTGCCAGCTACAAAGTGGTAGAGCTAGGATTTGAACCTCAAAATCCTGGCTCCACAGTCTTCTTTCAACATAAGGTAGCTATAGCTGAAGTAGTGCTTGTCATATTCCATGCTGTCAGATTATGATAAGATAATATTTATGGGAAATCTTTGAGTTGTTTTCCTAGCTCCTGATGCTCCTCCCCCCTTATCTGTCTTGGCCAAATGGCACCAGTTGTGCAAACAGAAATCTGAGATTATCCTTGACGTTTCTCAAGATTTCACCCTATCTCTTCTAATCAACCAGGGTCCTAAAAAATTTAATAGCCTGACCATTTATCTCTATCTGCACATTGTTGCTAGGATAACATTTCAGAAAAGGCAAATCTGAACCTGTCATTTTTGACCACCTTAAAATTATTCCACTATATTCAATTAGCCTTAGGGTAAGAATCAAATCCTTTCCCTACCTTTCCATCTTATCTTATACCACACTCCAACTCTGACCAGGGCTGCTGACCTTTGTTTTTTTCTTGTTTCTTTTTTTTCTTTTTTTTTTGGTTTCTTCCGGCCACAAAGACCTTCCCTTGTACTGTTTGATTTGAAGTTCAAACCACTAGACTGTGTTACCAACTACCCTTTCTTATTATGGTAATCTAGAAACCCTTAGGTCATGCCTCCTCCTAAATTCTTAAAGATTTTTGCTTCTGATTGACTCTCTCTCTTTCCTTAAAACTACTCTGGCCACATTTCTTGATGATTGAAATATTTATATAGATAATTTATATAATATCCTGATCAATTCCTTGTACTCTCCTTCAGTGATCTTGTTCTCTATCCTACCTAATCTGACTACTACCACAGACATACCTGAGGCGTATGGTTCTCAAATTTTAGCACACATCAGAATCACCTAGAAAGCTTTTTCAAGTACAAATTGCTGAGCCCCACTCCTAGAGGTCTCACTCAGCAAATCTGGGGTGTGGTCAGAGTTTTGATTTACATTACAACCTCACTCCAAAACAGGGAAATGGATTTTCAACACATTTTGAGGCTCTGTTTGGAATGATATGATACAACATGCAGTCCAAGTCACATGTATTAAATTCATTTGGGGGACACCACAAAGAGACTGAAAGTCATTGTCCATCATGGCCCAAGCTGATGAAGATCAAGAGGCACATGTGACCATCCATTGAGAAAGATGTGCTATACTTCCTGAGACTCATGAATGAAGAGAGAAAAGAAATAGTAGTTCTAAAGAAAAGTCCTATTTTAAAAGATCTGTGAGTCATAGGCACGACTTCTGATCAAACTGGTCCTCACAATGGCAAAAGTCTCTGGAGCAGTAATAGGAGAGTAAGGAGCTATGGGGATGCAAACATTTGAGAATGATTTTCTCAGGTAATGCTAGGAGTTAATAATGACAACTGTGGTTTATTAGAAATCTATGTGGCAAACACTGCGATGGGATGTAAGTAGACATCATAATGCATGCAGAATACTTACATAGTATAGAGCAATTAATGATTCAAATAAGTGATAGATGTTACTGTCATTGTTAATATTATTATTATATTTAATGTTAGTCCTTGTTACTCCTTAAGAGGTAATTATTATTGAGATTTTTATAGAGGGGTGAACTAAGACTTAATTTAAGTTCTGGGACACACAGCTTGCAAGTATCAAGGCCTGGAGATGTATCAATTACTAAAACACATGCTACTCCCTCTACTTCATGCTATTTACTCCTTTGCAATGGAAGAGGAGCTTGACATCAAGGTATAACTCTTAGTTTTTTCTGAAGAACTATCAGATTACTTCTCTGGCATATGATTATACAGTTGATTCGGTTTTGAACTTAGAGCAGAAACACATGTATATCCTTGTCAAGCATTTATTGTTATTGGCCCTATAATCTTGTCTATTTACATACATTTGAAACTCAAGAATTTCATTCAGTGTATTAAACTTGTAATGTGCACACATTTGACAAGCATGACTGATTTCAGACGTTTTTGTAGTTTTCGATTAAAATGTATTTAAAGGGGGGCAGCCAAAAAGGGAAGGCAGCAGACAGAGCCTTACGGCTGACTGCAAGAGATTCCTTCATTCTTTAATCTCTTCAATTTTATATCATTCATGAATGGAAGTAAGTTCTTTGTCATGGGTTGACTTGGTGTACATTTACTATCCTAATCTCACTGTAATCTATCCCACATTTTCCCCATCTTGTTCATTCATTTATCAAGAAATATTTTGGCAGACTCTTTACCAAAACCTGCACATTCCACAATTATGGAATTTGATCAATCTGCAAGACTCATAGCTTATTTAAGATTCAGCTGATTTTAAATCAAGTTTTAAAGCAAATGTGCTTTGCTTTTGTTGAAGCTGTAATGACTTTAGTTGTCACTGCTTTCTTTATGAATCATTCTTGTTGTTTGTCTGAGAAAAGTAATACATCCATTTTTTTTCCATTTAAAGATTCTAAAATGATTTCAACTTTTAAACTAACTTTTAGTTTAAAAGTTTAGTCTGTCTGGGGAGGTGAAGAGTCTTAGGAGCCTAACAAGCAAGTTATGAAACAAACCTTCACTGTTACCTTTAGAATCTGGGCACTTGTAACAATTTTGTGTAATCAAATGCCTTCAAAATGAATGTACAGATGTGCTGCAAATAGAAAAGATATTTTTACACCATTTACATAAATAATAGTTTTGTTGTGGGTGGATTGTTCTACGAATGTACAGAAAGTTAATGCATTACTCATTCCTTTGCATCTTGTCATTCCATAGGGGAGAGAGTTTGTTTAAACAGAGACCAGAGCCTGCATATTCCGTATATAATTTTCCCTTATCTCATAGATAGTTAAAAGGAGCCACCCTGGAGATGCATGAAAGGATGCATTTAATTTGGGAAGAAAAAAATAACCTCTATTTGTCCCTTTTAATTAGTATATGAAGAACCAGATTTCTCTAAGGGTCCTCTTTCTAGTCTGTATTTATAGAACAGCATCTTAAAATGGCAGTTTCCCAGAAGAATGAGAATTTCTAAAACATGCCATGCTTTATATCATAAAATAGATATTTAAAAAGTACATTACATTTAATAATGTTTGAGCAGTTAGGGATCTTTCTTTGTAGAGTAGCAAACACTGAGGGCTCTGTGGGCTAATTTTGGCCCTTGGCCAAAGTTACTTGGGAGTCCTCAAGTCTGTGTGTGTGTGTAGGTTTGTTTTAATTCATCCCAGTTGTCATTTGCTAGTTCATAACAGCCCTTACCCCCACAGCCTGTTGTATTCATTTACTTTCTCCAAATGGCCTCTGCAAGCATTTGGATTGGTGACTCCTGGGGCAAAAGAAAGATGGTGGTCTTAGGGGATGGGGTAAGAAATTTAGATGAGATGATGCTTCCTCTCTGGAATTGCTACAGAACTCCTTAGGTACTTAGGATTGACCGTTTTTGTTTTTGTTTTAAACAAAAAGTGATTCTTTGACTGTTTTATATTCGCTTAACACCTATGTGTGTAAATACAACTACCAAATATTTTGGTTGAATATGCACACAAGTGAGTAACGGATGCATTTATTTTCAAGTATGATGATAAGAGACTATTAAAGAGCATAGTTTTAGGGGCATGAGTGGCAAAAGTATTGGCTATCAGGAGTTTTACATTTTTGAGTTTGACAAGTTATCAATGGATATGGATATGCATGTTTTTATACCTCTTGATCTATGTACCTAAGCATTCAGATGACCTGTGTCTCAAAGTTACTGTGGAACTCTGAAATGATTGTGTGCGTTTGTGGCATAGATTTTATTTTCTTCTTTTTTGAGACAGACTTTCACTCTGTTGCCTAGGTTGGAGTGCAATTGCGGCTCACTCCGGCCTTGATGTCCCCAGGCTCAGGTGAACCTCTCAGCTGAGCCTCCCCAGTGGCTGGGACTACAGGCACATACCACCACACCAGGCTAATTTTTCTATATTTTTGGTAGAGATGGGGCTTTGCCATGTTGCCTAGGCTAGTCTCAAACTCCTGGGTTCAAACAATCCCTCCTAAAATGCTGGGATTATAGGCGTGAGCCACCATAGCCAGCCTGTGGCATAGATTTTATATCAAGGTGTTTTTTTTTATAAAAAAAAAAGAAAAAAGAAAAACACACACATTATTTTGCTCAAACAAGAACCAACGTTCTGCTCTTTTTTGTAGTTACATTTTTAACTCATGTGGTGCCATTTTTAAAGGCATTACTAATTTTGTGGACTAGTCTGATCATCCAAAGGCAGGCTGGGATAGTACAACGTGCTTTGAAGTCAAACCTATGGCCCACTGTGTGAACTGTGTGACCTTGGACAAACCACATGACTTCTCTGAGACTGTTTGTGTATGCTAAACATGACCAGTGACCTTCTGTACTGGGATTTTATGATTACATGAGATAATATATGCAATGTCTGTAATAAAAAAGCAAGTTATGATCTATATAACATTGACTAAGCACTATCCTCCCACTTTCCCCATCTCATTGCCAATATCTTAGCCAAAATGACCATTTGTGTCTCATTTGGACAAGTGTCATGTTCACTTAACTATCTCTCCCCACTTCCCATTGCCTTGTTCTCCATATGGCATGCTGCTAGAATGATGTATTTAAGAAGTAAACATGATCTGATCAGTGCATGCTAGAACTCTTCCAAGGCTTTCCATTGCTCTGAGAACATGGTCTAGAAGTTTCTGCATGGTGTGGCTCCTGCTGCCACTTGGCCACCTCAGAGTCATGTTCCCCTAAGATCTCATCATTCAAGCCGTCTGCTTTTCCTATGATTTCTTGCATGTGCCCTGCTCTGCCATACCATCCTCTTTCCCTTGGTACCCCTCCTTACTCAGGCCAATCTTTCTGCTCAGAGATGTTTATTCTGTACCTAGTTGGTTGATACCTACTCTTTCTTTAACTCTCCACTCTTTTGTTGCCCTTCCAGTTACTTCCCCATTTTCCTGACTTCCCACTTCCTAGGCAGGTCTGATTCCTAACCCCCATAGGACCATAGTCTTCTACAAAACACTTAGCACAGTTATAATTTATTTGTGATGATTTAATCAGTATTTATCTTATAGAATAAAAGCACCATGATATTAAGGGCTAGGTCTGTATTTCTAACACCTAGTAGATGACCCTCCATCAATATTTGCTGGATAAATTAACTTTTGAATGTCAGGAACCCCTTAAGCTTTTCACATTGGCCCCTTATAATGACATTGTGAGGCAGATGTTATGATCCCTCTCTTATAGAAGAGAAAAATGAGATTCAGAGCATTTTAGAAGAGCTTTGTTCAAGATTACACAGCACATAGAGTGTGGTACTATGATTTGCATGCAGGTTTAATCTTGTACCCTTAACCAGTGGCCTTTGCTAACTCCTAAAGAGTAGTGAGTGCTCAGGATGTGGTTGCTCTGGTTACAAGAAGAAATGATCTCGGCCGGGCGCAGTGGCTCATGCCTGTAATCCCAGCACTTTGGGAGGCCGAGGAGGGAAGATCACGAGGTCAAGAGATCAAGACCATCCTGTCCAACATGATGAAACCCTGTCTCTACTAAAAAATACAAAAATTAGCTGGGCATGGTGGCACGCGCCTGTAGTCCCACCTACTCGGGAGGC
This sequence comes from Homo sapiens, assembly GCF_000001405.40. Classification (NCBI taxonomy): domain Eukaryota; kingdom Metazoa; phylum Chordata; class Mammalia; order Primates; family Hominidae; genus Homo; species Homo sapiens. Next base: position 155,753,237 of record NC_000005.10, read on the forward strand.
TGAGGCAGGAGAATCACTTGAACCCAGGAGATGGAGGTTGCAGTGAGCCGAGATCGCACCACTGCACTCCAGCCTGGTGACAGAGCGAGACTTTGTCTAAAAAAAAAAGAAAGAAAGAAATGGGTCTCATCTCAACTAGCTCTGTTTGTTTTGTTTGTGTGTTATCAAAGTACCTGGACTTTATGGAATCCTTCTATACTTCATTGTCAATCATTTATTGGTTCTAAAAAGGATCGGACAATGTGCTATTTCAGGGAAGCCCATGTTTTGGAGTAAAATGCACAAATAATTTCTCTTGCCTTGCAAACACATTTTTTTTTCTGTCATTGCAATGTGCACAAAGGGCCACGAGGATCTACAAGAAAGCCTGCCTTATTCTGACCAGGAGTGGGGAGCTGACAAGAGGCTTCACAGAGCAGGTGATGTTTAGAGAGGAATGTCTCCCATTTCCTAGTAGCCTGTGAGGCTCTCAAAACCGGGAATCAAGTTTCCCTTGTGAACTCAGTTCTCAATCGTGTAGGGATAGGGTTCCCAGGTGTGCCTCTATGTGTAGAGGCTCTATTATACCCTGGATACACATTGATATGCATGTGCAATGCTGGAATCACCAGCCCCCAGGTCCTCCTCCCAAATGTGCATGTTTTTTGACCCATGTCACATTTAATTTTTTTTTTCAATTGACGTGTTTTTAGGCAGAGTTCCCAAAACATCCACCACTTTGCCATAGTCCCCTGTCATTCCATATCGTCTTGCACTGACATGATTCACTCATTGATATTGCCTGTTGCGTTCCTATGGCCTTTGAGTTTGCAGACTGTGTATGGGGAGTACCAGGAGAAAATACTCATTGAAATGGGAAGCCAGCCAAATGTTGTGGAAACAGAACTGGACTATCATTTGGAGTCCTGAATTTGCTCTTGACCTGGCAGGGACCTGTGACCATGAATGCTTTTCTAATCTTCTGTTGCCTGATATATCTGTTAGGAATAGTAATCCCTGCTTTGTCTCCATCATGGGCTTATTGTGTAAACGAAATGAGATATGGGCATGAGAAAATTTTGTAAACAGAGAAATGGCATCCAAATATAAGGGACTATAATTAAGAGTGAGTTTGACTTCAGACAGTGAGCAGGCAGGCCATGAATAGCCTGCCCTATGATTTGTGACACTTGCCATGGGAGGAAAGGACTAATTAAGAGTACAAGAGTTACAGAGTCATGACACACAGGCACAAAGGGAGAAGGTCTCCTGCTTCCAATCTCCAGCATGGAGGAGTAGGAGGAATGAGATAACATTAGTTGCAGCAGAGTCACAGGGAACTATACAACAATTACCCAGATAATCACATTACATTGTATTGCACTGGTGTGCAGCAATATGTTATGGCGTCAGTTATAAGGTGGAACATTAAACACTAGTTTTAAACCACCTAAGAGTGTTAAGAAAACGTCATTGAAGAGTGAATTTTATTTTTCAACAGACAAAAGGGAGGAAATGTTTTTCTAGCCTTAATTTATAACTGGAAGTTTATTGATAAGGCATTTTATTTCATAGGGCTTAATTTTATGCATAGTAGTAGTTGCAGAGTTGTCTGGTGATGATTTACACATTCGTAATTATTTCTAACCTCTGTTTAAAATTCTCCCTTAACTTTCCACATTTGATGACTTTCCAGATACAAATGCTGGCTTAGAGTCAGCCCAGTTTTGCAGCCATGAAAGCCAGAGAGGACCCAAAGAAATGGGTGACGCACCCATCAGCCACCTGCCCTCCCCAGGCTGCCACCTCTGAACTGTGATAATAATGTACATTAAACTCTGTCTCTTCAAGTCAAAAGACTGCCAGAGTGCAAGAGGCCCTGATGCTACATTTTCCTAGAATATGGTGCATTTTCTTTGTGATTCACCATGAGATGTTATCATAGCTTATGGAGAAATATTATTAACTTTAATTTACTGAAATTGAGTGCTCTATGAAACATTGAATCAAGCTGCTTTCTCCTTAACTGGTAAACACATTTATTAAAACAAAAAGATTAGTAATTTATTGTGCCCTACCTGGGTTGATTCACATAAACCACAAAAATAACATTTTCATAACCTAGGACTTGATGTTTTATTTCTGTTTGTTTGTACTGCTCTGAGACCTATGCTAAGAGACTAATAGAACTATCAGACCTCTCAAATCCAACATTATAAAACAATTTGTCTTGGAGTCATTTGCTTTGTGGAGGAAAACATATATTGGCTCTTTGCTGTAAATCAGAATATTACCCAGCATGTTGTCATAGCTGAAGGTTTTCTCTCTAGTGCATAGTGATGGGTAAGTTGAAAAGGACTGGTTCTTGGGATTCTTTCTTTTATGGTAAGAATTGCCCTTTACTTTTATTTTCCTCATAGTTTCCTGGGCATGCCCCTGGGGTAGGCTGGATCCTTCTGTAGGCTGGATCCTTCTGTGTTCTTGTAACCCTGACAATATTTCTGAGAACACATTTATTCTGTTCTGTGTAACTTCTCTTTTACAGGGATCTCTCCTTCTCCAAACTGAATTACTCGGGAGCTGACTTTCAATTTGTTAATGTTTATGGTCCTGTTATGTGCAGGGTGTTAGATAGGTAGTGGGCATGCAATTGATTGTGGTTAAATAGATGAATGGTTTTTGTCTTCTGTCATTTTCCTCTTCAGAGTCATAAGAAAAGAAATCAATAGAACTTTGGTGCTTTAAAATTAGGAATAACTTTTATCACCTTGCTGGTATTGGTATCTTGTCATTTGTTCAATTACAAAGTGTGTATGTAATGGATAAGAGTGATGAGCCTCTGGAGTTAGCCAGACATGGGTTCAGGTGTTCCCTCTCAATGCTTACCAGCTGCATGACCTTGTGAACTTAACTGCCTCAGTTTTCTGATCTGTAAAAGGGCATAGCATAGTAGAGAAAGCTGATGTGACTTTTGTACAGCACCACTGGGCAATCTTTGATCAACATGCAGAAGGTCAGTGGGTTAAGGAACTATTCAGAGAAATGTAGGGGATTATCCATAGGGTACTGATTATCCATAGGGTCCAACTTTCACATGTGAAAATTAGTTGGAAATCTAGAGGTCGAGAAAGTTTAAGCTGTTTCTTTTCTAAGACTTATTTCCTTATAAAATCTTTCTGCCTTGTTGCTGGATAGCAGACTTTTTTATTCCATATGTTGATCTTTCTTCCTCTTCCCATCACATCCCCCAAATTGTTGATATCTTGGCCAAGAAAAGAGACCTTCTGTGAATATCACACAAAGCCCGGTTACTTTCAAGGACCATCCCTAGAGTTGTTGTAGGGATTCAGTGAGATTATATTTACAAAGTGTTCAGTACAGTCCCTAGCACATAGTGAACCATTTAATAAACATAAGCTGTTGTTTTTATCATTGTTGCCCAGCCACAGTTGCAATTTCATGTGGCTAGAATTGATATAAAAACATTACTGGTTTCTGAGAAATGCAAGGTGTTTTGCAGGTATGGCTCATGAATATTAAACACTTCCCTGAGAAGCTGTCCAAGGAATGACAATCACCTGCACCACAAATAGTGAGTCTGAAAGCTCACATTGAAATCGGCATGAGTTGTACACACTGGTGTATGGGTGATGTCAACTACAGCAATGACATGAGTATGGCATCAAACTACCCCTCCTAGGAGCACCTTAGACTTTGATTTTGTCTCAGGCTCCTGGGATAAATACCAGGGTTGGGTGTGTGTCTGTATCAGGTATTCACGGTAAGCAGTGGGTGATACCAGTCTATCAGCTTTGGACCACAGGCGGGGTCTATGCTGAAAGAGGCTATACCTGCCACTTGGCTTGTCAATGGGGCTTCTGCCTTGGCATTGCATATTCTGTTTCAATTTCTGAGGAGGGTGGTGGCAAACATGCTCGTCTTGGAAACTTGCATTAAATTTAAGTTGCAAGAGATAGAGTTTATAGAATAATAGAAGGCCTAGAGCTGGCAGGGACCTCAAGGCTTAATCTATAATAACAATGAGCCAGTATTTATTGAATAAGTACTATATGGCAGGTACTTCACTAAGTGATTTTCATATATTCTAACTGATTTAATTCTTGCTATAGCCCTGCAAATTAAGCAATATTTTACCCATCTTTGTATGCAACAGGTACAGGCTAAATGTTTTGCATATGTAAAACCTCATTTAATCTTTATAACTTTCAGTAGGGCGGGTAATATTTTCTTTGGAAATGGAAAGACAGAACCTTGGAGAACTCAAGTGCCTTGTTTAGCCCTAAATAGTTACTAAGTGACAGAGCAGGATGATCGACCCAAGGGTCTCTGACAGCAAAACATAGACACCCAGCTACTGTACTCTCCTGTCATACCTGTTGCTTATTGTGGTTGAGGCTAAGAACTGAAAGGGACATGCCCCGGGTTGTACAGGATGTTGGGTGGGTCCTCTTCAGGATCAGAGTTCCTTCCATGCTCTCAAACTTGCTGTATGGACTTGCATGGCTTCCAGGATTCTTAATAGTCCTTGATATGGTTTGGCTGTGTCTCCACTCAAATCTCATCTTGAATTCCCAGATGTTGTGGGAAGCGCCCCATGGAAGGTAATTGAATCATGGGGGCAGGTCTTTCCCATGCTGGCCTTGTGATAGTGAATAAGTCTCATGAGATTTGATGGTTCTATAATGGGGAGTTTCCCTGCACAAGCTCTCTCTTTGCCTGCCACCATCCGTGTAATAGGTGACTTGTTCCTGCTTGCCTTCTGCCATTATTGTGAGGCTTCTCCAGCTACACAGAACTGTGAGTTCTCCATTAAACCTCTTTCCTGTGTAAATTGCCCAGTCTCAGGAATGTCTTTATCAGCAGCATGAAAACAGACTAATATAGTCCTCCTCTGGTGTTGTGAGTCAGTCTCCTTAGTAGATACCTTGAATTGAAGTTTCCCATGTTTAGAACATGGGAAAAAGGAAACAAAACAAACAAACAAATACAAAATAATAAAGTTTTCCATGTTTAGTTTTAGTCTGAGTTATGAGCAGAACCAGGCTATAACAGCCGTGGCAAAGTGATTTTCCTGATTGGTGTTAGCTCTGCAGATGTATGCTTACCACTGTCCTTACTAAACTATTGGGAAGGGAAGGACAGTTTCTGTTTCCAAGTTATTGATGATTGAAGTCATCAATACTTTTATGTTACATAAGTGAAATTTGCAAAAAGATAATTTGCAAGTGTAGTTTCGCATTTCATGTGGCCTGGCCCAGGGTTATGGACTGGTACCGGTCCATGGCCTGTTAGCAACTGGGCTGCACAGCAGGAGGTGAGTGATAAGCCAGCAAACATTACCACCTGAGCTCCAGGCTCCTTCAGATCAGCAGTGGCATTTGATTCTCACAGGAGCACGAACCGTATTGTGAACTGCACATGTGAGGGATCTAGGTTGTGCACTCCTTATGAGAATCTAGTGCCTGAAGATCTGAAGTAGAACAGTTTCATTCCCAAATCACCACCCCGACCCAGCCCAGTCCATGGAAAAATTGTCTTCCACAAAACTGGTCCTTGGTGCTAAAAGGTAGGGGACCTCTGGCCTAGACTGACTGACTGTGGCTCTTTTTCTTTCTTGATGGATAAGACAATTCTGGAAGGCTAACTGCCTTCTATTTTATGCCTTTCTTGTCCTCAGGGAAGTTGGTGGTCAGTTTACCGTGATATTTGATCATGAAGTTGGTGTATTATTCTGTGATTGAAAAGCTTTTCGAGTTTTTATGATTTTTTTTATTTTTATTTTTTTTTTAGAGTCAAGATTGTGCTATATTGCCCAGGCTGGTCTCAAACTTCTAGGCTCAAGTGATCCTCCTGCCTTGGCCTCCCAAAGCACTAGGATTACAGGCATGAGCCACCACACCTGGCCTGACTTTTCAAGATTTGATGAAGCTTCCAATTTGTCTCAAACCCTGTTGTAATAAGTTTGCATTATAATATTTAGACATTAGCCTTTGTCGAGCAAATGTTTTCAGTATCATAGCTAAGGGGCTAAAATTAATATTTCAGTTATATAACATGTAGAACATTATGGTGTTGCAAGTGAATTTCATGCACCATCCCCTTCTCTCTCTCTCACCACCTTTTTTCTCTCTATTGCTTATTCACTGCATTCCTATCTTTATATTCTCTTCTTTCTGAAATGTAACTTTCTACATAGATGATATTAATGCAGAGTAAGCATTTATATTTATTAATTGTTTAAGACTTTTTTGAAAAACTGTTTCTGAGATTACAAGCAATGACACTGTGCTTGAAATCCCAGAAACATCTTTAAACATGCACACTCCGCTGCTCAGGGCTTGTGTACAAGATAGCACATGGGCAAGGACGCACCAACTTCTTTGAATCCATAAGTCAGCAGTGTGCATATTTCACTGTAAAGAGTAATCATGGTGAGATGTTCACCGTCAGGAAGTAAATGACCAAATTTATTATTGATTAGTAAAGTGCTACATTTTGAGGCATCTTTCCTTTCTTTTCTTCTGCATCCATTGGACAGGTCATCTTGTTTCAACTCTTAGCTCTGTATTGACCTCCAAATCTTAGTTACTATCACATACTTCTCAGCTATTATCAAATTCATTAGGTTGAACAGCTTCTGAGCCATTAGCTCTGCTGCCAGGAGGCAAGAGAAATTTTCTACGAAGTAACTCATGTTACGTTTCTGCACATACATTTCATCCGGTTAGCTTATGTCAAAGCAACTTCCAGGAACAGATCCACAAGCAGATTTTATCCTCACCATCATCATAATAAATTTGAGATGTTTATCTCACCATTGTTATCATCATCACCCTCTCCATCACCCTCTGCATCATATTCACCAACACCCTCTCCATCAACCTCTCCATCATCATCTCCATCACCCTCTCTATCATCCTCACCATCATCCTCACCAACACCCTCTCCATCATCATCTCCATCATCCTCACCAACACCCTCTCCATCACCCTGTCCATCATCATCTCCATCACCCTCTCCATCATCCTCAGCATCACCCTCTCCATCACCCTATTCATCATCCTCTCCATCATCCTCATCATCACTCT